>NC_000012.12:113672249-113823764 GCF_000001405.40 Homo sapiens | reverse complement strand
TCTGACCTGCTGTGAGGAAGCAGCACAGGAGACCCTTTCTCTCTTTTTTCTCAAGGGAATCCTTTCCCCTGCGGGTAGAAGATGGGGAGGGGATGGCCAGGGAAGCAGGAGAGTTTCTGGGGGTGCGAGGGAGGCAGCCCCGCCATGGTGATGCTGAGACTAACTCTAGTGTTTCTCTCTCCTCCTCATTTCCCCTTTGATTCTCTCCCCTACTCCTTATCTTTCTTCATTGCCCCATCCTCTCTCCACCTCCCTCTGTATCTTCTCTCCCTCCGCTCTCCCCAACTTCCCTCTCTTGCATTCTCTCGCTTCTGTTCTGTCTCCCCGCACCCTTGTTCTGCTCATCTCTCCCCTCTCCCTCCTTCCTCTGTCATTTCTCTCTTCCTGCCTCCCAACCCTCTCGGCTGTTCTTTTCTCCTCTCTTGCCATCTGGGCTCCCACAGAGCCCCCGAAGAAAAAGCGGTCTGTGGTGTTGGACGAGATCCTGGAGCAGCTGGAAGGCAGTGACAGCGACAGCGAGGAGCAGACCCTTCAGCTGTGAGCTGGCACCGAGAGGGTGTGTGGCTCCGGGGCCCTGGGGACCGGGACAGCCGCTCCAGCTTCTGCACTCACCACCATGTGGGCTGGGGGGCGGGGCGGGGAGCGGCAGGCGGCCCCACCCTGCACTGGTCCAAGGTCGGAGGAGACAGGGGATGAGGAAGGCCTCAGGCCACTGCCCAGCGGCCCAGGCATCCTGGGTTTCACCAGTGACGCGTTCTAGCAGACACTGACTGCGCACCTGCTCTGTAGCAGACACGGAAGAGTCCAAGGGAGCAGCCACGTTAGGAAGAGAGACTTGGGAACAGCTACACAGGGAGCTAGAACCCCTGCTCCCCCTGTCCCCACCCCAGGAGAGTAAGGGGACGAGGGCCAGCTCTCTGGCATCAGGCTGCTTGGACATGAAACCCCGTCTCCAAGCTCAAGCTGGGAGACCCTGGCCCAGTTTCCTTATCTCCTTGGGCCCAGCCTTCCCCTTGCTAGCTAGTTCTTACTTCATAAGGTTTTAGAGAGAAATAAACGCAGTAATGCATGAAGAGTGCCGGGCATGGTGCTGAGCCCTGTTCCTGCTCTCCCTCCAGGGCTGCTGAGCTAGAATTCCCACCTATGTCTTTCCAAGGGACTGTTCACGGCTTGGGACTTGGTCTCTGTCCTGCCCCATCCTCGTCACTTGGGACCACGAGCCCTGGTTCAGTCACCCAGGGAAGCCTCCCAGCGGCTCATGAAGCATCGAGCTCCAAGCCCAGATGCCAAGCTCCCTGGCTGAGCTGAATGATGTCACTCATGGTGGACGCGTTCTGCTCACGGGCCCAGAGCCCTGTGAAATGCATCAAGGTCCTCTCCGCTGGCCAGCAGCATCCCCAGGCTTCTCTCAGGCGCCCGTGTTCACATTTTCTCCAGCCTGAGACGCAGCCTCCCGCCTGGAAGGGCCTGTGCCAGCACCAGGCAGAGGGCAAGACGGAGAGGGCAGAGCAAGAACTGCACTGCATCTCACTGCAGTCTGAATCTAGACATCGCCATTCCCCGAGGTGCGACCTCAGACTAATGACATCCTGGCTGAGCCTCTGTTTTTCTCTCTAGGAAATGGGGGTGATAATTGTGCCTACCTCAGATAGACAGTGCCAGAATTAAGTGAGTCAAGCCAAGTAAAGCCCAGAGAAGATTCTCATCAGCACTTTTGTTTTCTTCTTCATTTAGAGTCACTGGGTGGGCCTCCAAGTGAGAGTTTGGGAATCTTCAGACTCTGTGCATAAAACATGGTCTGTGCATTTTGGTGGGGATGAGGTTCCAGTCTTCATCCAGTTTTCGGAGTGGCCCAGAGCCCAGGCAAGGCAACACAGAGCTGGCAGCCTGCACGACCAAGCATGCGCCTCGTGTCCTCTAGGGCAGGCACCCCCTTAGCCATCCAAGCTCATCCCTGAGAATTCGTGGAAACAAAAGACACAGAATGGCTCGTTCCCCAGCCGTTTATTTTTAATTTTTTTAGAGACAGGGTGCAGTGGCATGATCATAGCTCACTGCAGCCTCAAGTGGTCCTCCCACCTTAGCCTCCCAAAGCTCTGGAATTACAGGTGTGAGCCATCACGCCCAGCCACATTCTCCAGCTTTTATAGTGGGGTGGCTCACAGAGTCACATCAACCACAGCCTTCTGGATGTGGGGGCTGAACAGTGTCTCTGTTAAACCACACCCAGGCCGACCCTCAGGTGACCAGGGTCCCAAGTTGCCGTAGGTCATGCGGAATGACAGGGCTGGAGACCTACCCCATGCCTTCCCACTGCTCAGATCTGTGAGCTGGATCGTGTCCTGTTCGGCGGCACATGGCTCCTTCTGGCTGAACCTTCTGGTCTATACAATTTGTACTCACATTTCCACACCACCAGAGCCAGCAGGGATGGCTGGCTGATCACCAAAACTCAGGTGTAGACCCACGGGCCTGGTGCAGAGGCAGGCATCTTTTGGCACTGACTTAACTGGCCCAGAGGATGCTTCTAGAACCTCCCCCCAGAGCAGGATTCAGCATCATCCAGGGCTTGGTGCGGGGTGAGCAGACATGGGCTCTGTATTCGGATCTGCCTGGGCTCCGTAACAGTCCACCACTCTCCAGCCTCGTGAGCCTCGGCAAGTGACTTAACCTGCTGAGTCCTCAGTCTCCTCATCTTTAAAATGGAGTGATGCAAGTAGCATCTCCGTCACAAAAGCGTTATCAGGCCCAGGCAGCTGCAGGCCCCTGCCAGGGCTCACACAGTGAAATGATGGGAATCAGGGCTGTCCAACCCTTCCTGCGTCACTGCCTTCCCTGTGGCCAAAAGAAAGCTGGTGAGCTGGGGAAGGTTCAGGAACTGCAGGAGAGTGAAAGGTAGCAAGAGGAGGGAGAGCTTCCAGCCACTCGCCAGGCCTGGCCTGGAATTGGCAGTGGGGAGTGAGGCAGCCTAGAGGCCATATACTGAGCCTGGCCCCTGCACCCCTGCCCCAGGCACGCACTGTTTGGAAGGGGCAGATCTGTGAGCACACAGGAGTAGTGGAGTCCACTCCCACAGAGATCTCAGGGTGCCCCTTCATGCCGCGCCCACCAGACTGCACCCTCATCTCCTCTCTTCCGGCTCAGCTGTCCTCGTGCAGCCAGTGTGGCCTGACTGATCCGTGAGCTGGATCATGTCAGTCTGCAGCTTCAAACCCTCTAGGGCCTCCCTGACGCATGGAAAGTCGAGTCCCGCTGCTCACCCCAGCACCGAGGCCCCACCTCACCTGACCCTGCACTCGCTGTCCCGGCCTTCCTCCCTGCAGGCTCCCACCCCAGGGCCCTCGAGCTGCCTCTTCCCTCTGCCTGGGATGCCCTTCCCTCACATTCTTCCTGCGTGGCGCCTTTTTATTTTCCTTTGAGATCTTAAATCACGCTTGTCCAACCCAAGCTTGGGCTTTGAATGCAGCCCAACACAAATTTGTAAACTTCCTTAAATTTGCAATTTTTTTTTTTTTTTTTAGTTCATCAGTTATCACTAGTGTTATTGTATTTTATGTGTGGTCCAAGACAGTTCTTCCAGGGTGACCCAGGGAAGCCAAAAGTTTGGATGCCCCGGTTTAACTTCTGCTTCCTCACTGAGGGAGACAGACTCCTGATCAGTTCGTCTGCAGTAACCACACCCAGCTCCTCTTTACACCCAGCCCCAACCCCCTATCCCCCATCCCCTGTCCCTCTCAGTCACAGCACTCAGTACAGGGGACAACCTGGAGTGTGAGCAAGATCTCAGTGACCCAGAGCCTTTTACCCTGTCAAAAATAACTGTTTTAAACGGGAACTAGGAAAGCAATTAAGATTTTTGTTACAATCATCATCATTGTTCTAGAATGCAGTAAAGTACAGCCAGGTAGCCATAAAGCGGAGCTCGGGAAAAGTCATTTGCCTGGCCCAGAGGAGGGGCTTCATCTCTTCTTCCTTTGGAGAAGAGGGACTGGTGAAAGCGTCTTACGAGAAATTCCTCCATCCAGCATGTGGGGGTTGAACTGGGAGACTCTAAGCCTTTGAGCCAAGGCAGCAAGGGACTGAGTCACCGCTGTCACTGGGAGGGGGACACGGGAGCTTTCTGAAAGGCGGCTTCGGTTGTTTTTGAAGCAATGATGGGACGTTGGTAGACACAGACACCCAGAAGATCTGGGAGAGAAACTCCAGAAATAACCCACAGAGGTGGCACTGAGGAGGGAGCACTCCTCCAGGGCGGTGAGCCTCCTGACCCGGCTCAGGACTGACTGCTGCAGGGGGCAGGAAACTGCCTCAGCCACATCTCAGGGGGCTGTGACCCTTCCCTGCCGATATGGTCACCAGAGAGCCGGGAAAGAGAACCATAACAGGCTGGACCAGAGCACTTGCGTAGGAAAGGAGAGGTGACACCAAGAGGCCAGAGGGGCCAAAGGGACACAGGGAGGTGGGAGGTCAGTAGGACACGTGCCTCAGAAAAGCCAGAGGCACACATCTGGATGAGGCCTGTGACCCGGTGTTCAGAGTGTGGCTCAGTTAGCTGGGAGGAACGGGGACAGGCTGTTTCCAGAGTGGAGGGCTGGCTGGAACCGCATCTGCTGTCCTCACGTCCGTCTCCCACCCGCTGTGGGTCTCAGGGGCCTGGCCCCTTGAGCTGTGTCTCTGAAACTCCCTTATCAAGAGGCTTGTGTTCAGTTTGGCCAGCAGTGGGCACTAGCGGGCGCCTGGAAGGCTGGTAGAAGAGAAACTCCAGGCATCCCGCCCTCTCCCTCTGTCCCACGTGGCGTCTCCACCAAGGGTCCACCCCTGGATGGGTGAGGAGGGCCCTGGCATCTCTACTATAGGATACACACAGTCAGACTGCAGGAGGGAGATGGGTGGTCAGACAGGTCCTGGAGAACAGACAGGGGTGAGGGACAGTGGGGCCTGGAGGAGGGACAGGAGTGAGAGACAGTGGGGACGGGAGGAGGAGAGCGGAATGCACAGGCCCTGACTCCAAAGGCCTGCGTTAGAATCTCTAGGCTCTCAGTGTCTCCAGGCCTTGCGTTCCATGTCTTTCAAATGGGTGCAGGAATTCCTGCCTCATTGGATTGGTTAAGACAGAAACAGAAGGTCATGAATGGAAAGTAGTTAGCAGACTGTGTCATGCCTAGTGAGTACTTAGTAATGGTAGTTGCCATCATTATTGTGAACATAACTTCAAAACAAGGCAAGCTTGTGGGGCTGCACCCAGCAGATGTCAGGCCAGCTGGGCCCACGTCCAGAGGCTGGGGCGGGATAGGGACTCACAGGGCGCTGCGCCATGTTGGGGAGGAGCCTATGATCCAGGAAGGAGCCTGTAGGAGGTGCCCCCCTGCCCACTGGCCCCAGTAGGCAAACCAGCACCTGGCTCTTCCTGCACAGAACCAAAGTTCAAGCCCAAATGGGCCAATGGTTGTGGGGAAACAGGTGAGCACCCCCACAGGAGCAGCTGCCTGTCTATTGCTGTGTCTGTGTGTCTGTTCCTAACCCTTTCTTTTTTTTTTTTTTTTTTTTTTTTGAGACAAAGTCTCGCTCTGTTCCCCAGGCTGGAGTGCAGTGGCGTGATCTGGGCTCACCTCCCTGGTTCAAGCGATTGTCCCGCCTCAGCCTCCCAAGGCTGGGATTACAGGTATGCACCACCACGCCCGGCTAATTTTGTATTTTTCATAGAGACTGGGTTTCACCATGTAGACCAGGCTGGTCTCGAATTCCTGACCTCAAGTGATCCACCTACCTCGGCCTCCCAAAGTGTGGGGATTACGGGTGTGAGCCACCACGCCCGGCTAATTTTTTGTATTTTTAGTAGACAGGGTTTCACCATGTGGGCCAGGCTGGTCTTGAACTCCCAACCTCAAGTGATCCACCCACCTTGTTCTCCCAAAGTGCTGAGATTACAGGTGTGAGCCACCATGCCCAGCCTGTTCCTAACCCTTTCAACTGGGGGGTCTCAAGTGGGTGAGGACTCCATGGCCACGGCAGCAGAACTGTCTCTTCTGAAAACCAGACTCCGGGGCCCCTGGGTCAGCACCTCTAGGTCATTCCACAGACTTACACAGTTTAAAGAAAGAGCCAGCGAACATGGGGTGATCCTGGGGTGCCACTGGGATCCCAAGCCAGGCCCGGAGGTCTGCCTGTTTCGTCCCCAGAAACTTGAGCTGGCATCCTCCGCTGGTTTGCACTGGGCACGGGGACTGGAGAGCCACCAGGCCACTGAGCGCAGCATGCTATCACTTCTCAGGAAGTTGTGAGGGTGAGGAGAATAGCCGGGCCCACTCTGCAGAGGGGAGGAACAGGCACAGGCTAGAGGCACGGGCTGATAGAGTGAGTCCTCTCCCTCATTCATTCATTCATTCATTCATTCATCCATCAGACACCTGCTGGGCATCTGCTGTGTGCGAGACACTGTGCTGGGTGCCCCAGACACAAGACAGAAACTCGGGTCGCTCTGTGTGCCTCCACACTGGCCTTCCCTGCTGCGTGGACGCAGGCTCTGTCTCCTAGGCTTTAAGCCCCATGCATCAGGTGGAAGACAATTTCCAGCAGCCTCTGCCCGCTTGTTTTTCCTCCTCTCCTTTTCCTGCCGCCTTGGTCTTTTTTGTCTTTTGTGCAGGGCCGTCTCTCGCAGCGCCCGTCTGTGCTCCGCAGCGTCTAGGAAAGGATTAGTGTGAGCAGAGCACGCAGGCTTTGGTGAACAGAGCCGAGCTTGGTTTCAACATCTAATTCAATTTGTTCTGCCGAGATTGAAATATGAAATGGTTGCCAGTCAAACGTTCAAAGGACGGGGAAGGGAGAGTGAGCGCATGCTGAAATTTAAATTTTAATGAAAATGACTTTAACCCTTTGGTACACCTTGCAAAATGTAACCCATCCTCCCATCCTGTGAAAGCGGCCTCTCGGGTTAGAGCTTTTCCACCCACTTCTCTTCCACTGAGCTTCACTAATAATATGTAATCATTTTTTTCAGCCGTCTTAATAATAAAAGATTAATAGAATGCTTGCATAATAATAATTTATTCACCCATGCCGCCTAGGCCATTGAAATAGTCACCTTGCCTAGATGACTTTCCCAAGCCCCATCCTAGACAAGCCCCGGCCCCTCGTTAGATTCACTCGTCACACCGAACACCTCCCTAGCTCCTTACAGCTGTGAACAGTTTCTGTGTTTTTATTTCATGTCTGACCTCTCTCTCTGGACCGGAAGTCCCAGGAGAGCAAGGTCTGTGCCCATTTTGTGCGTGCTGCATCGTGGAGTAGATGCTTAGTAAATACTCGAGGAAGGAATCAGTGGCCCCACTTTGTCCTTTTAGCAACTGTGAGAGGTAAGTTGATGGGAGATGTAGAAATGGAGAGGTGGGTGACATTCCCAAGATGGCGCTGCACAGAGGGCTGCCACCAGGCTCACACTCAGCTCGCTCTGGCACAAGCCCAAGCCCCTACCTCCCCAGAGCAGTGAGGGCAGTTCCCACATGCAGGGGGCCCGGCCCTATGCTGGGTTTCAGAGGCACACCCTGTGCTCTCGCTCCTGCTGCAGGGCCTGAACTGCTGTCTCCTCTTTACAGCGAGGGCAGGCCCAATGTGTGCCAGCTCGAGCCTTATCCTCAAGGCAGCAAGAGCAGGCCCAATGTGTGCCGACTCGAGCCCTGTCCTCAAGGCGGTGTGGGTGAAGGGCTCTCTCTCCTCACCCCCAGTGAGATTCTCCTATTCAGCTCCTGCTTGCCATGGAACCCCTAGTGTGTTTTTTGTTTTGTTTTTAAATATCAAATGCCATCAGTGCCGGACCAGTGGGCATGCGTGGCAGCTCATTATGGCTGTGGACAGACAGTGCCAGGCATTGACCAGGCATCATAGGTTTTCAGGGTAGAGTGGGATGATGGGGGCAGCCCTGAGACCACCTTCAGGACAGTTGGCTTCCAAGGACTGAGTCCTTGGCTTCATCCTCCAGGGCTCATACAGACCAGGAGCGCAAGGGAGAGGTTCAAACCTGAAACACCCAGCAAATGTGTGTTGAGCTTATGTGCACCAGGCATGGCCATGATGCTGGGAATGCAGGAGTTGACACAGCAGATAAGACTCCCTGGCCTCGAGGAGCTGGTAGTCAAATGTGGGGAGACCCAGACATGAGTGGGTGGAGGATTGCTTCCCTGGCACTGCTGAGGCTCCATTCTCTCTGGGGATGTCTGGCAGGGTCAAGGAAGGGCTCCCTGAGGAGGTGGCATGTGAGCAGAGCTGGGAGGAAGGGGACAGCTCTGTGTGCTCAAGGGAGAGTGAGGGGGACAGCCCGGGCCCCAGAAAAAGCCAGGGAGAGTGGGCAGGGGCCTGCCAACCCGGCTCAGGCTTGGGTGTCAAGTCTGGGCCTGTGGAGGGGAGCAGAGCCGGCCCAGTCTGCCACCATGTTAAGGATCAATAGCAGAAGGTCAAGGACTGAAGCAGGGACAGGTGTTCAGAAGCCATTGCAGTGGCCAGGAGAGCAGGGAGGTGGTGACTCAGAGCAGGGAGGTGGCAGTGGAGGGGTGAGGTGGCCCAAGCCTGTAGACAGACTGAAAATGCAGCCAGTGGCCTAAAGGTTTGGCTGTGGGGTGTGCACAACCAAGGCTAGCGCCCTGGCTCCAGCCCAAGCAGTGGGAAGAAGGAAGCTAGTGTGCGCTGAGACCATTGCAGGAAGAGCTGGCTTGGAGGGAAGCAGGAACTGGCTTTAAACTCGGTAAGCTGTTGACTGCTAAGAGGTGGAGAACACACCGGAGGATACGTGTCTCAGGTTGAGGAGAGAGGGTTGGACCGAGGTATAACAGGAAATTATCCTTCTTTGGTTAAGAAATCTAAAAGGGGCCAGCCTCGGTGCTTCACTCCTGTAATCCCGGCACTTTGGGAGGCTGAGGTGGGAGGATCGCTTTGAGGCCAGGAGTTCGAGACCAGCCTGGGCAACATAGGGAGACCCCATCTCTACAAATAATTTTTAACATTAGCCGGCTGTGGTAGTGTGGGCCTGTGGTCCCAGCTACTCAGGAGGCTGAGGTGGGAGGATCACTTGAGCCCAGGAGGTCGAGGCTGCAGTGAGCCATGATCACACCATCGCACTCCAGCCTGGGCAATGGAGTGAGATGCTGTCTCCCAAAAAAAAAGGGAAAAAAAAAGAAATCTAAGAGTCAGCATGGGAACTAACAGCCCCGTGTAGACAGACCTGGGAAATCTCATAGCTTCAATGCTTCAAGTTAATTTTTTTATTTTATTTTTTTTTTTTTTGAGATGGAGTCTCACTCTGTCGCCCAGCCTGGAGTGCAGTGGCGCGATCTTGGCTCACTGCAGCCCCTGCCTCTCTGGGTTCAAGCAGTCCTCCCACTTCATCCTCCCAAGTAGCTGAGATTACAGGCATGCACCACTATGCCTGGCTAAGTTTTGTATCTTTAGTAGAGGTGAGGTTTTGCCATGTTGGCCAGACTGGTCATGAACTCCTGACCTCAGATAATCCTCCTGCCTCGTCCTCCCAAAGTGCTGGGATTACAGGCATGAGCCACTGCACAGGCCTCAAGTTCATTTTGAAGCCACTTCTAGATGGTTCCAAACTCCTTTGGCCCCAGAACCCGTTTCCCAAACAAATGTCTTAAACAGATTAAGCAAAACTGCTTTGTTCCAAGTCAGGGTACAGGCCTGACCTCCCCCACCCAGACTCCTCTTCCCCCTCAACACCTCAGTGATTTGAAAAACACTGACCTAGGCCTGGCGCGGTGGCTTACGCCTGTAATCCCAGCACTTTGGGAGGCCAAGGTGGGTCATCGCAAAGTCAGGAGATGGAGACCATCCTGGCTAACATGGTGAAACCCCATCTCTACTAAAAATATAAAAAATTAGCCGGGCATGGTGGCACGTGCCTGTAGTCCCAGCTACTCGGGAGGCTGAGGCAGGAGAATCACTTGAACCCGGGAGGTAGAGGTTGCAGTGAGCCGAGATCGTGCCACTGCTCTCCAGCCTGGACAACAGAGTGAGACTCCATCTCGAAAAAAAATATATTGAACTAAAAAATGTCTCCCAAAGCACAGAGCACGGACCTCTGTGCTTCAGGAGATGGTTTAGGTGGCCCACACACTTTTCTTTTTAATTTTTAACTCACAAGTTTATTTTCACATGTATGCCACAAATACAAACCTGTATTTGTTTAGGTCATCAAACCTATGGTGTTGCTAAGCTCTAAGGAATACCGGTGAATTCGTATAAAGAAAAGTATTAAAAACATGAATTTCGTGAGGCAAAGTAGTAAAGAAGCGACGTGAATGATCAAAATCAGGGGTTGGCAAACCATGGCCCTCTTTTTTTTTTTTTTTTTTTGTGCTGCTGTTGCCTGGTTTTGTGAATAAAGTTTTATTGGAATACAGCCATGCCCATTAGTTTACATATTGTCAATAGTTGCTGCATGTAACAGAGTTGAGTAGCAACAGAGACCTTATGACCTGCAAAGCCTAAAATATTTACCATCTGGCCCTTTGCATCAAGTGCAGTGACCCCGATCTAAAGCAAACCCCCATCATTTTACAGATTAGAAAGCCCAGAGTGTCTTCTACAAGGTCACACTGTGGCAGAATTCCCCGTTCCGGCTCTTTCACCTCTGCTATGCTGCCTCGGCACATGTGCTGAGTAAAACTTTATTGACAAGACCAGGCAACAGTAGCAGGAAAAAGAAAAACGAGCTGTGGTTTGGCGACCCCTGATTTCAATCATTCATACCCCTTCTTTACTACTTTGCCACTTAGCCACAATGTGACCTTGAGCAACCTCCTTGACCTCTCTGTGCCTGTGTTCTCACCTGTGAACCGAGAACAGGACAGACTCCTGCAGATGCCAGGATGAAGTGAAGGCTGAGAATGGCGCCGGCCCCACATGAGCACTACACAAGCCTCAGCTGTTGTTACCCCATCCCCCCAACATAAAGGCAGTGTCCTTCTGCACCCCGACAGGCTTGGGCCATCACCCGCTGCCCAGGAGGCCAGGGTATTTCAGCACAAGCCCCGGGCCAAGGCCTTCTGGATCGTCAGCAAAGTAAAAGGGGCCCTGCAATCTAATTATAGCATTGCTAGAAGCCAGGGCCGCATTCCCCTCCAGCTTCCTTAATAAGCCCCACTTCCCCATAATTGCAGATTTCATGGAAGCGGTCCACTGGGGCCACCATGTCCCATCCTTGGGCTTAGGCCAATAGCAGACATTTTGTTGTGCAGATTTCTGGATAGCAGCTGCTCCTGCCTTTCCTGGAAACTGTCAGGAGCCCTCCCTTCTCCTGGTCCCCAAAAAGATTCCAGGCGATAACATCGCTGCCACCTTGTACACCTGCAGTTTACAAAGCACTTTCGCAGGTGGGAGCTGAGTCACTAGGCAGGGGCTGTCACTGCCATGGCACAGATGAGGAAACTGAGGCTCCAGGAAAGGAGGGGAGCAGCCCGTGGCCGATGTTCCAGAAAGAAGGCAGTCCCTTTTCCCAGGCTGTGGCTCCACAGTCAAAGACCCTCCTCTCCTTCCCCTCTGGCTTTGTGGAAGAGGACAGGAAGCTGGATATGTGGCAGTCCGTGCAAGGGATAGCAGGAAACACTGCGTCCCATGAACGATTCTCAGACTGCATTCCCCAGAGATGCTGAGATGTGGGGCTGAGGAGTCCGGCACCCTTAACCCCTCCACCTCCCAGGATTTTATATTCCTAGGCTCAATTGCCCAACCCTCATAGTGTAAGCATCTCACTGCAGTCTTTGTGAGCTGCGAGGTATTTTGTGAACCCTGAACACAAGTCAACAACTTCACCCAATGCTCAACCAAAGAACAGCAGCTGCCCCAGTGCTGGGGGACAGCCTGCTGTGTTCGCCTCCCAGAGCAACAGTGTATATAGGTCAGGGAATGTGTTGGTTCCTGTGACAGACCCAGACATTAGTGGGCTTAAATGAGATGGAGGTGGATTTCTGTCACATGACAGTTGGAAGGTGAACAGGCCTGGTCTGACAGCAGCAGGGGCCCAGCCCCTCTGAACTGTCACTCTGACACGCCTCCATGGCCCAGACAGCACCCCGCTGTGCTGCCATCACCCAGTCACTGGGAGTGGGGAGGAAAAAGAGGGCTTGCCCTGCCCTTCAAGGACACAGCCTGTGCATTCTCATGTCACTTTGACCAGAATATGGTCACCTGGTTGAGCCTAGCTGCAAGAGATGCTGGGAAATGGTCTTTCTCTTGGGCAGCCATATGCTCCCCAAAACATACAGCCCCTCCTTCTACAGGAAGCGGGAAAACAAATGCTGGGGGCAGCCAGCAGCCTCAGCCACTGATCGTTGGGTGCTGCCTGGGGTCTTCCCAGGGCATTTTCAAGGTCAATTTGACTGTCCTTGATTTCCACCTTTTGAGCTGACGTTAGAACCTAACCCCACATAAGCATTGTTTAAAGACTCATGTATCACAGCCGTAAAAAAGAATGAGTTCATGTCCTTTGCAGGGACATGGATGAAGCTGGAAACCAGCATTCTCAGCCAAATAACACAGGAACAGAAAACCAAACACCACATGTTCTCACTCATAAGTGGGAGTTGACCAATGAGGACACATGGACACAGGGAAGGGAACATCACACACCGGGACCTGTTGGGGGTGGAGGGCTAAGGGAGGGATAGCATTAGGAGAAATACCTAATGTAGATGGTGGGTTGATGGGTGCAGCAAACCACCATGGCACATGTATGCCTATGTGACAAACCTGCACTTTCTGCATATGTATCCCAGAACTTAAAGTATTTTAAAGAAAAAAGAAAAAGACTCATGAATCTAATGTGTTCATCAGATTTTTGGGGTTTTTTTTTTTCTTTTTTCTTTTTTTTTTTTTTTTGAGACAGGGTCTTGCTGTGTCACCCAGGCCGGAGTGCAGTAGTGTGATCATGGCTTACTGCAGCCTCAACCTCCCAGGCTCAAGTCATCCTCTTGCCTCAGCCTTCTGAGTAGCTGGGACTACAGGCATGCACCACCATGCTCGGCTAATTTTTTAATTTTTTTTAGGGAAGGGGTCTCCCTATGTTGCCCAGGCTGGCCTCAAACTCCTGGGCTCAAGCAGTCCTCCTGCCGTGGCTTCCCAAAGTTCTGGCATTACAGGTGTGAGCCACTATGCCTGGCCTCATCACATTCTTAAACCAAGAAAAGTTAACCCACTTTTCTTAACCCACTGTGTTAGACACTAGTGCTGGTTGTCAGTGAAAAACTCCAAAGTAACATGTGGATCTTGTTGCTTACACATTAAGACAAAATGCCAATTTTGGGGGCTGGGGGAATAAGGCATCAAGTTTGCCCCATGTGTAGATTCACTCGTGTCTGACCAAGTGCACCCTCGGAGTGTTACCTACACAGAGGCTGGCTTTTCCCTAACGTCCTTCTTTTCCGCAGATCTTCAGAAAGGCTTTCTCTGATAGGGCAGTATGTTAATTCCTGTGATTGCTGTAACAAAATACCTCAAACTGGGGGGCTTAAAGCAACAGAAAGTTGTGCTCTCACAGTTCCGGAGTCCACAGGTCTGAAATCCAGGTGTGGGCAGGGCCGTGCTCCCTCCGAAGGCTCTAGGGGAGGATCCTTGCTCAACTTATTTTTGAGACAGTCTTGCTCCCTCACCCACGCTGGAGTGCAATGGCACGATCTCGGCTCGCTGAAACCTCTGCCTCCCGAGTAGCTGAGATTACAGGTGCCCGCCACCACGCCCAACTAATTTTTGTATTTTTAGTAGAGACAAGGTTTCACCATTGGCCAGGCTGATCTTGAACTCCTGGCCTCAGGTGATCCACCCGCCTCAGCTTCCCAAAGTGTTGGGATTACAGGCCTGAGCCACCACGCCCAGCCTGCCTTTCTTTTCTGAGGACAGTTGGCACCTATAATCTCATCTCAAGATCGTTAGTTATATGTACAAAGACCCTTTTTTCCCAAATAAGGTCATATTTACAGGTTCCAGGTGGACGTATATTTTGGGGGAGGTCACCATTCAACCCTCTGCAGACCATCTGAGTCCCCTTTCCTTGCTCTACAAGCATTTAATGAGCACCTCCTATTGGCCAGCCCTGAACTGGCGGCCAGGGATCCAGCAATCAACACAACAGGATCAGCCAGGCCCGGTGACTCATGCCTATAATCCCAGCACTTTGAGAGGCTGAGGCGGGCAGATCACTTGAGGTCAGGAGTTTGAGACCAGCTTGGCCAACATGGTGAAACCCCATCTCTACTAAAATACATAACTTAGCTGGGTGCTGTGGCTCACGCCTGTAATCCCAGCAGTTTGGGAGGTTGAGGCGGGTGGATCACTTGAGGTCAGGAGTTCAAGACCAGTCTAGCCAACATGGCAAAACCCCGTCTCTACTAAAAATACAAAAAATGAGCTGGGCATTTTTTGTATGAGGCGGGCGCCTGTAGTCCCAGCTACTCAGGAGGCACGAGAATCACTTGAGCCCGGGAGGTGGAGGTTGCAATGAGCTGAGATGGCACCACTGCACTCCAGCCTGGGCGACAGAGCGAGACTCTGCCTCAAAAACAAACAAACATACAACACAGTAGGCTCACTGCTGCTGTGAAAGTTCACAGTCTGTTGGGAGATGGCTAAGTAACAGGTGGTCATGGTGCCAAAGGAGAAGTGGGGCAGGTGTCCAAAGGAAGGGTGGGGAGGGCTTCCCAAAAGACGTGGCTTCTAAACTGTGTCCCAGGAGGTGAGTAGGGGTTACCCTGAGAGGTGGACTTACCCTGAGGGCAGCAGAGAGCCCCTGAAGGTCCAAGAGCAGGAGAGCAGCCATGCCCAGCTGCCTGTGAAGCTGCCACCTCCTCTCCCTCCACACCCTGACACTCAGGGACACGCCCCCGCAGCCCACACTCCCAGGAAAAGCATTCCTCTAGCGGACCTTCTGGTTACTTTTATAGATAACCTTGTGGCCGGCCCTCCACCACCTCTGCAGAAACAACACCCTCACCCCACGAAGCCCGACCTGTTCTCTCCCTGGCTGACTTTGAAGCCGTGGTTGTAGCAGAGTGGGTAGGTTCTGATGATGGGTAGAGAAGGCAGAGGCCAGAGCGAGGCAGCCAAGGCCAGGAACGCCAGGAGCCACCAGAAGCTGGAAGGGCCGAGGAAGTATCCTCTAGAGCCTCCAGGGGAGCATAGCCGTGCTCACACCTGGATTTCAGACTTGTGGACTCTGGAACTATGAAAGCATAACTTCAAAGCATGTTCCTGAGAGTGGGGCAGGTACCACTCCAGGGGGCCTGGAGTGAGTTGCAGGGAATGGGAATAGGTAGAGAAGGCATCTCGGGGACAGGGTTCAGCTGAGGGCAAGGCTACCTTCAGGCGGGACCATGACTTGCAGCCGCACAGCACAGGACACATAGTCTGAGCTAAAGAATATTTGCTTAATGAGTGAGCTTACATCATATGTATATAAAATCTAGAAACATGTCTGGTTTGCTGAAGACTGACTACGTGGGTGGGTGCTGAGCCCCATTTCAACTGTAAATGCTAACTCATTGCAAGAGACAGAAGGTCATTGTCTTTTAAGCAGAGGCCTGAAAGCCAGTTCCGGCATCGGAACCTAACGAACAAACACGGGAATCCAAGGCCATCATAGCAGCAGTGGTCACAATTACTGAGCCTTACTCTGGGCCAGGCACTATAAGCCAGGGAGTTCTCACGACAGCCAGAATTGATGGGGTTGTTGTCCCCATTTGACAAGTGAAACCGGTGCAGAGAGATGGCATGCCTTGCCCAAATTCACAAGGCTATTAGTGGGAGGAGTCAAGAGACTTTAAGGGCCCTTTCTCTGTCTACGAAAGCAATAAACAATCAAAGATAAAGCATAATGTTATTCAAAGAACAGTCAGTGACTTTCTTTGGTTCATAGGAACCTGGCTATGGTTGGGATGGAAGGGGGTAAAATCCCAATTACCAGGCCCTCCTTGTACCAAATGAATTAATACTAATGAGGTGGAGTCTTAAGACTCTGTATTGAACCAGGCACCTTCTCCCCTACCCCCATGATATGGTTTGGATTTGTGTCCCCCAAGTCTCATGTCAAATAATAATCCCCAGTGTGGGGCCTGGTAGGAGGTGATTGAATCATGGGAGCGGTTTCTCATGAATGCTTTAACACCGTCTCCCTGGGTGCCGTTCTCATGATACTGAGTGAGTTCTCATGAGATCTGGTTGTTTAAAAGTGCGTGGTGGCTCTTGCCTGTAATCCCAGCACTTTTGGAGGCCGAGGTGGGCAGATCACGAGGTCAAGAGATCAAGACCATCCTGGCCAACAAGGTGAAACCCCGTCTCTACTAAAAATACAAAAATTAACTGGGCGTGGTGGCTCATGCCTGTAGTCCCAGCTTCTCGGGAGGCTGAGGCAGGAGAATTGCTTGAACCCGGGAGGAGGAGGTTGCAGTGAGCCAAGATCACACCACTGCCCTCTGACCTGGGCGACCGAGTGAGACTCCATCTCAGAAAAAAAAAAAAAGAAAGAGAAAAAAGCATGTAACACCTTCCCCCTCTCTCTCTTCCTCCTGCTCTGGCCACGTAAGATGTGCCTGCCTCCCCTTCACCTTCTGCCATGATTGTAAGTTTCTTGAGGCCTCCCCAGGAGCAGAAGCTGCTATGCTTCCTGTATAGCCCATGGAACCATGAACCAATTAAAACCTCTTTTCTTTATGAATTACCCAGTCTCAGGTATTTCTTTATATCAGTGTGAGAATGCAAATATAACCCACCCCTGCCATTTGTCTGTATCCCAGTTTGGGATCCACCATTGTGAAGTGTACATGTATATTTTCTGCCTTCAGGAATCAGATTCTTTGCTGTAAACATAGAATGTAATGTACCTCCTTTCAAACAATCATGGGAACATGTATAAAAGAGCACCATCTATAAGGCTACCAAAGAAAACCTCAATACATTCCAGAAAGAGGAAATAATATTGATTACATCCTTTGACTACATGCAATAAAAGTAGAAATTTGTATCAAAACAGGGGAAAGAAAAGCTCTTATAAATTAAAACTCTCAAAGAACTTGAGTCAAAAAATACACTGAAATTGCATAATATCTACTAAAAACAGCAGTAATAGAAACATTCATGGTTCTGATGACAGCTAAAGCTATGCCTAGAGGAAAAGTCGTAGACTTAAATACCTGTTACATACACAAGCTCTGCCAGTTCCATCTTGTATTAGTTATCTGTTGCTGCTTAATGAACAATCACAAGACTCAGTGGCTTAAAACATTACATGCTTATTTAGCTCAGGAGTCTGTAGGTGAGGTGGGCAGTCTTTGTCCAGGTTGCTCATTCACGCCTCTGCCCTCAGCTGCAGGTTAATGAGGTGGCTTTGCAGATCTTGGCTGGACTCTTCTGTATCTCAGAGCTGTCTCCTTGTCTGGCCTGGCTTCAGGCTGAACTGACTCAGTGCTCTCTCATCCTCCAAATGGCCAGGCTAGGCATCTTTTCATGGGTGAGGCAGAGGAGCCAGAGAGGAAGAGTTTATTCAAAGCCTCTTGTGCCAAGTTTGCTACTTGCCCCATTGGTCAAAGCAAGTCTCATGGTGGAGCTTCAAGTCAGCAAGGGAGGGGTCTATCAGAAGGCATGGTTTTGGGCTGGAAAGGGACAAAAAACTGGGACCATGAATACAGTCTCTCTCGCACATACCTCTTAAATATATCTTGTATCCATCATTTTCCTTGGGCACCATCTTTGTGCCAGCCCCCATGTGCTGCCTAGATTAGTGGGACAGCCTCCCTCTCCCCTTTCCCTCACCCCACTTCCCTAGTTACCACCTGCTCATCCTTGAGGTCTAGACATCACTCCCTCTGAGCAGTCCACTGACCACCCAAGACAGGTGCTCTCCCTCTGGTCCTCTGTAGGGCTTGTCACTGCCGTAGGGTACTTCCCTCACTGCACTGTAGAGTCTGTGTGCTCTGTCACCCTGCTGCCAGCAATTTGAAGACAGAAACCATGCCTTATTCACAGTAGCGTCCACAAGCGAGAGGCACCCACTAAGTGTTTGCTAGCGTGCAGGTAGTCCCTAGACTGTCCCCTTGAGAAACGGAGCATTCAGAGACTTGTCATTGCCAAAACCAGGAAAGTTCTGGCCAGCAGGTGAGCTCAGCCTCACCCATGGTTGTCTTCCGACTTCAGGGGTATTTGTGCTGCCAAGGGACCCAGATGGCGCTCCCCACGCCCCGGGTGTGAGTGGGCCAGTGAATTAATTCCCTCCTGCCAAAAGGGTCTGTGCTCTTTGTCTTTCTCCCTCACTGTGGTCCAACCAGCTTGATCATCACAGCCAGGTGGATCCCAGGACCACCCAGAGGTCACTGACAGGTTCCCTCGGACCAGGCAGCCTCCAGTCCCAATCATCTTTAAGGAAGGGAAGCCAGCCCAGCCAGCTCAAGGCCAATCCCTCCTTCCCTGCCAGGGCAGATGGCAAACCGGGCCCCCCTCCTTCCCCCCACCCACCTCCTCCGTAGCAGACCCTGCACGTGCCCACACGTTCATTCGCTCTGCCGGCCTGCTCAGATTGGCCGCCGTGTGGATTGGAAATGGTGCCCATCCCCGGTTTAAAATGTGCCCCCAGGGCTCTTCAACAGCCGGATCTAGTTCATTCTGGTTCCCAAGACTCAGTCATTTCAAACCCCATTTTCCCTGGGAAACCTTTGAATTTAGAAATCTGAGTTTTGGATTTAGCCTCATTTCTCTGCATTCTGCTTCCTCTCCAATTCCCTAGGCCTCCCTGCCCTCGCTGTGGAGCCCTGAATCAGGGGCAAGCTGCCCCACCCTGCCTTGCCACCCAGCTGGGGCGGCCTCATTTCTGGGGGGAGATGAAAAACCAACTCGTCCTTGTTCCTGCCCAGAGAAGCCCAGATTTTTAACTTCCTGGTGTCTTAAAAGCAGTCCCCATTCTTCAGTCTCTCTTCTCTCTGGTTAGGTAGGTGATCTACTTAGAAGAATAGTGTATTCATAACTCTCCCCTCGCCCACCCAACCAACTCAGTAAAGCAGTTTTCAAAACGAGGCGGGATGGTGGCTGGGAAGGGGTGCAGTCAACGTTTGTATTTTCTGAGTTGATTGCTGTTTTTACTTTGATTGCATCTTGCCTGAGAGTCCTGGCTTCTGGAGCAGAAGCCGTTGGCCCCTCAAGATGAGATTCCAGTGCTTCCAAGAAACCCAGGCCCTGGCCAGGCATGGTGGCTCACGCCTGTAACCCTAGCACTTTGAGAGGCTGAGGCGGGTGGATCACCTGAGGTCGGGAGTTCAAGACCAGCCTGGTTAACATGGTGAAACCCTGTCTCTACTAAAAATACAAAAATTAGCCGGCCATGGTGGTGGGTGCCTATAGTCTCAGCTACTTGGGAGGCTGAGGCAGGAGAATCACTTGAATCCAGGAGGCAGAGGTTGCAGTGACTGAGATCGTACCACTGCACTCCAGCCTGGGCAACACAGTGAGACTCTTGTCTCAAAAAAAAAAAAGGAAAAGAAAAAAGAAAAACCCAGTCCCTTAGGAGTGACAGGTCAAACTTCTCCCTTTAATCTGGAAGCACAGGCTAGAAAATCACCCCAGCCAGGATTCTCCTTCCCAATTCCCACATCTCTGCATCTGCTTCCTCATCAGAAAACAGGGATAACGTGTCCATTCCTTCACAGAGGTGTTAGGAAGACCCAAGAGATGAGTGTTGAGCCACCGCAGAGTGCCTTGTTTGCAGGAAACACATAAACCATTCATTCCACCAAGTTTTGCTTAATGCTGCCCAGTGCCAGGCACTGGTTGGTAAGCCAAGGATCCACATCCAGGTCCCCATGGGAGTCATCCCCACACATCCAGACTTAAAATGACAGCCAGTGGCGCCTGTGTAATGTGTGTGCAGGGACAGTGCAGGGTGCCATGAGAGAAGGATGCTGGGGGGCCTCCTTCAGAGGGACAATGAGCAGGTTTCTCTAAGAAGTGATTTTCCAGTCAAGGGAGAGTAGGAGGCAGCTGAGCAAAGGGAAGAGGAGGTTCAGGAGGGAGGAGCGGCCTGTGCAAAGGTGCAGCAGTGAGAACTGAGTGCGTGGCTGCCAGCTGCCCTCCAACCCCAGCCCCCAGCCCCTCTTCTCCATTACCTGCCCTGCTGGAAAGCCCTGCTGGCGCCTCCAGTCCCAGGATGGAACACTATCAGCCGGGGGCTGCTCCCAGGACACTGAACTGTCCCCATCTGGGGGCCGACGTCTTGGGTCAGGGCTGCACAGGTGCCCCTGTCCTCAGACCGGCCTCCTCCCCGAGGCAGGGAGTCACGTGGCAGCTGACTGAGGTTTCAGATGTGACGACTCATGAATATCAATGAGGCCTGGTAATTCACAGTAAGTGAGATCCAGATTGACTAATAAGCAAGGCTTTCACCCCAAACTGGGTCTGGGGAAGGAGAGTGGCAGCGGCGGGCGGCGGGCAGGTGTGGGCATGATGTGACCAGAATTAGAAAACCCGACAGCAGAGCCACAGGCAACAAGGTGGCCGTGGTCGCCTGCTCACTCACTGGAGGGGCTGCCAAACAGCCTGGGGAGCGGGGGTCCCCTCACCGGCAGCAGGCTCTAAGCCCTGGCACAGAGCATGTGTAGCCCAAGGGAATGGTTCAAAAACCCCTGCAGTGTGACGAGGGGCCAGGGGCTGATGGGCTTGCTCAGGGTAGAAGGAGGCAGCTGTCGGTCCCAGGCAGGGCTGAGGAAAGGGCTGCAGGCTTTCAGGGATGTCTGATGCCCACCCTAGTGTTTTGGTTGGCATCAGGAACGTGAGAGCCCTGCGGGTCTCTTCTCCATCCCGGCTGAGAGCCAGTGCCTCTCTCTGCAGTTGTGGGGTCCGACTGGGGATCCCAGGAGAGATGAGTTCTCTGGGCAGAGTGCTCCAGGAGGGGTGAGACTCCTGGGGCCATGGTCCAGGAGAGAAAGCACCCTGAGAGCTCGGGGCCCTGAGAGTCGAGGGTGGCACCCAGCCCTGTTCTGAGCACTTCCTGTGAGCAATAGGCTCAATCTCAGCAGAACCAGCTGCAAGTCTGAATTGTGTACGGTTTCATGGGAACCAGCCAGAGTGCTGGGTGAAAATCTGCCTCTACTGCTTACAAGCTCTGTGACCTCAGGGCGGTTACCTCAGGGTTGTTCTGTGCCTCAGTTTCCTCCTCTGTAAAACGGGCATGAGAGGAACACTCATCTCCGAGGATTAACTGAGCGCACCCGGGCGTGTCGCCTCCCGGCTGTGTGACTCAGGCAAGCACTGTACCTCCCTGAGCCACGTCCCCATCTGTAGGGTGAGGCCAGGAGACTGAAATGGGAGGTAGAAAGGCCCCTGCACACCGTGGGCATTGGATGAGGGTCGCTTTCCTCCTTCCCTCCACCTCCCCCATTGAAGTCTTGGTTCATCCACTACTCTGACATGTGATTGTCATCATTGTGCTAGCCATGGGTTAACTCATTCAACCCTCACGCCATCGCACAAGATGGGTACCATTATTGCCATCCTTATCTCCCATGAGGAAGCAGGAGCCCAGAGAGGGCCCATCACTTGCTCAAGACCACACAGCTCATGGTTGAGCCAGGGTTACAACCAGGCGGCCTGATTCTGGGGTCTGTGCTCTCCACCTGGCGCTGTACCCCTCAGCCGGCTGGGTCAGTCTTTACCTGATGTCTTAAATACAGACATGTGCTCCTGCCCATTGGAGAAAGCAATGGAAGGCTCTGGAAACTGGACCTCTCCCTCCAGCCCCCAGCTGCAGGCTGCTGGTGGCTGAGAGAACTTCCCCTCCCTCCCGCACCGGAAGGAGCGTTGGGTTTTTAGCAGGAGCTGATGGGGGGATTTGCAGAGAATCAATCATACCGAATCCTTTATTTTCCTGGTGCCGTCTTGGTGTCCCTAGCTGTTAAGACGCGATCGGTTCCCAGAAGCAGCTGCATGCTCCCACTCATGGTGTCTGCTGCAGCCCAGCTCCAGGAGAGGACAGCTTCTCCGCCTTCAAAAGATTCCCTTCCATTGGGGACAATGGTCAACCCAGAGTAGGGACGGGAGAAACGTGGGGCTCAAATCAGAAGACGCTGCATCCATCCAGGCACATCTTGGACAGGTTCTCGGGCTGGGGATTGCATCTTAAAGATGGTAACCAGCCTTCTTTGAGAGCTAAATTCGAGGTCCTGGGGATTCAATGATAAATTGAATCCATCACTCCTTTATGGAATCCTCCCCACAGCCCCATGGGTACTGCTGTCTCCCTCATTTTACAGTTGAGGAAACTGAGGCGCAAGGCTGCTCCGGGGGCTTCTCAGTGCCAAACGGCTTGGAATAAGCTGGCGTGGCATTCCTGCCGGGTGTCTCTGGCTTCCAGCCCCAAGACTGGACCCCCAGCTGAAGGCCGGTGACAGAGAGCCTAGTGCATTTGTTCATTCGTCAGAACAGACATTGACTAGCACATTTCCCTGCTGGGCCTGGCCTTAGCTTCCATGGGGAAGAGGGTGGACACAGCCCCTGGTCACAGGGGGAGCCACAGGCTAGTGGGGGGAGCAGACGGTTCCAAAGATTATGGAGGATTGAGAATGCCAAGGTCGGGGCATACCTGGGGCCCTGTTGGACGTGTGTGTTTGTGTGTGCACCCGCATGTGGAAGGGGACAGCAAGCCACAGACATACTGTTCCGTGGTCATCCCGAGCTTAGCCTTGGCCTTCAGAAAGCACCAGGCACTGCCTTTACTCATCCAAACAGTAGCCAGGACATGGATTCAGTGCCCTCTAGGCCCCCTCCCCAGCCACACTGCCTGTTTTTCTGATGTGGGATGACATAAAAGGTAGTTTTAAAACCAGCAGATTGGGGGTTTGTTTTGTTTTTTGTTTCTGAGACAGAGTCTCACTCTGTTGCCTAGGCCGGAGTGCAGTGTTTTGATCTCAGCTCACTGCAACCTCCACCTCCCGGGTTCAAGCAATTGTTGTGCCTCAGCCTCCAAAGCAGCTGGGAGTGCACCACCATGCCCGGCTAATTTTTTTGTTGTTGTATTTTTAGTAGAGACGGCGTCTCACCACGTTGGTCAGGCTGGTCTTGAACTCCTAACCTCAAGTGATCCGCCTGCCTTGGCCTCCCAAAGTGCTGGGATTACAGGCGTGAGCCACCGTGCCCAGCCAAAACCAGCAGGCTTTGTAACCCAGGGAGGCAGGTGAGCAGGTTGTCTGCCTTCATCATAGACAAGCTGCGTTGGTGTCGACGCCTCCAGCCAGGACATCTTGAACATGACGTCAAGTCTTGTGCAGAGGGGCCCAGGGAGACAAGGCATCAGGGCTTTCCCAAGGCCACTGCTGACAGCGGGCTGGGTGTTAGACCTGGAGTGGCCCCAGGAAAATGAGACAGCACCACTGGGACTCTGACGGAGCAGTGTTTTCGGCACACGGTCAGGCTGGGGGCAGCTCAGGACTGATCAGTCTCAGTTTCCCTTCCCTAATACACAAGCGGCATTTCTCCCACCTGAAAAAAACACCCCAGCGCCTGTAATCCCAGCACTTTGGAAGGCCGGGGAGGGCGGATCACCTGAGGTCGGGAGTTCGAGACCATCCTGACCAACATGGAGAATCTGCTAAGAATACAAAAATTAGCCGGGCGTGGTGGCGGGCGCCTGGCTACTTGGGAGGCTGAGGCAGGAGAATCTCTTGAACCCGGGAGGCGGAGGTTGTGGTGAGCCGAGATCGCGCCATTGCACTCCAGCCTGGGCAACAAGAGTGAAACTCCATCTCAAAAAAAAAAGAAAAAGAAAAAAACACCCCAGGCACACCATGTTCCATTTCACTCTGGCATGTGTGAGGATCCAGTTCTTCTGGATCATGAATTCCATGAGCACTGACCCTGTTCTAAGTCTTCTAGGTGAATGAACTCTTTCAGCCTTTGAAACAGATACTAGCGTTCTCCTCTTTTTCCAGACAAGGAAACAAGGCACAGAGAGGTGTCGTGGAGTGCCCAAGACCACACAGCTTCTAAGTGGCAGGACTAGGCTTAGAAGTCAGGGAATCTGGCTCCAGGGCCTACACCCTTGACCACAGCACACCATAACTTTGGGATGGTCCCTTCCACGCCTGCATGTGCTCCTGGCAGGGGGCTCCCGGCGGGCGGGGCCTCTGTCTGCACCACTCAGCCTATGGAAGTCAGAGCCCATCAAGAGATGAGCTTCAGCCGGGCGCAGTGGCTCACACCTGTAATCCCAGCATTTTGGGAGGCCGAGGCGGGTGGATCACGAGGTCAGGAGAGTGAGACCATCCAGACTAACATGGTGAAATGCCGTCTCTACTAAAAATACAAAAAATTAGCTGGGCGTGGTGGCGGGTGCCTGTAGTCCCAGCTACTTGGCGCTCAGTAGCTACTCAGTAGCTACTGAGGCAGGAGAATGGCCTGAACCCGGGAGGTGGAGTTTGCAGTGAGCCGAGATCCTGCCACTGCACTCCAGCCTGGGTGACAGAGCAAGACTCTATCTCAAAAAAAAAAAAAAAAAAAAGAGAGTGAGAGATGAGCTTCAAAAGCATACTCTGAGCATCTTCTCCCAGCTTGTGCGGTCACCCGGCCCTTTGCTGGAAGGTGTGAGTCAGCCAGAAGGGAAAGGTTTGAATTGTGAGGAAACAGGGTGTAGGTTGGGTGAGTGCCCCCTCTCCTGATCAAATGTTAAATGCTAAAGGACATGTCCAGGAGTGGGTGGGCAGAAGGTGGCCCATGGCCCTGCACTGTGGCCGAGATCCAGCCCTGCCCACCTACCCCTGGGATCCTCGTGGCCCTCGTTCCGTCTCTATAAAGTGGGGATCCACTTATTTGGTAAGTGTGTATTGAAAGGCACCTAAGTGCCAAGCCCTGTTCTAGGCACTGGGGATACCGCGGTGAAGAGAACAGACAGAAAGCCCCGCCCCCCTGAAGCTCACATCTCACTCCCAGAGACAGACATTCCGCAAGTCAGAACGTAATGTCAGGCAGAGGGTGCTGCAATGTCGTCAGAGCAAGGGGCAGGCACCGCATCAGTCAGGGAGCGCCCTCACTCGGGACCCAGGCACGGCCTCGCTGATGAGGTGACAGTCATGCTACAGCTGCCCTGAGGATGACCGGGAGGAAGCTTGTCCGGGGCCCCTCAACACAGGGCCTACACATAGTAAGTGCTCAATAAACAGCCACCACTGGCGTGGTGCCTGTTCTTATTATTTACATTCCTATTCTTGGTCCCATCGATTCTTAAGCAGATGCTAGGTCAGCTCGAAATTTCCCCATCTAAACTGCAAAGACGAGCGATATTCATGAGGGGCCATGGGGAATAGATGGGCCAGCTTGCCACCGCTGCTAATTTTTATTTGCATCTCAAGTGGGCCTTGTCGCCTTCCTGATGTGGGGAAGCACCACGAGGATTCAGTGGGGGCAGGGAACACGTGCCCCCTGGTCGGAGGGAATCCAGGGGCTCTCTGCATCCATGGCTGGCGGCTGGAGAGGGTTTGCCATCAGAGCTCGGAAGGCCCAGCCCGTTGCCTCCCGTGAAACACTGGGTAGTTTCTCATTTTCCCCTTGAGTAGTTTCACAGCCCAGTTAAACCTGCAGCAAAGGCTGGCTGGGATGGAGACCCCGGCCCAGGAAGGAGGCGGGTGAGGGGAAGCAAATATACCCCACACTGTGCCCTGCCCCCACCACACACACAAAAATATGAAATGGCCAGGAAGAACTCAAAGGAGAAAGTGATTTACAAACACTGGCCCTGGCTCCAAGACAAGCATTCCCCAAATACGAAAAAAGACACCGCACAGAGATCCCACTTTGGGACATTTATTTTGCAAACTGAACAGCAAACCGCACAAAGACATCCTATTGCAGCTCCTTATCTTTTAGAGCAGCAATTTGCCCCCTGGTCCATTTCCCTAATGTGTGGTTCAGCTGCAGAATTCTTGCTTTGATTGTGATAGCCAGGGGTGTGATCATCTTTAGTTATAGGGGGGTTGGAAGTGCTACTTTTGAGAATCTGCCCTCCCCCAGATGCTCATTAACAATACTGGCCCATAACCATGTGAGGGAGGCTCTTATGCCCATTTTTCAGGTGCAGCAATTGAGGCTCAGAGAGGTGTGGTGACTTGCCCAGGGTCATACAGCTCAGAAACCACAGACTCAGGCCTCAGGCTTCAGGCCCATCCACCCCCACTCCCCACCCCTGTCCATCTGACTCTGAAGTCAGTGTTAGTTCCAAAAGATACCCGGATGGGCCGGAGCAGGGAGGGAGAAAACGGGGCCATCATCTTACAAACAGCTTCCGGTCTGGGGTCCAGGAAGTCCCAGCCGGCTGCAGCTGTGACAGCATCAATTTCCCCTCAGGCTCACTGGTCCCTTTTGCAGCTCGCTTTCAATCAGTGCCAGCAACTGGAATGAGACCCTCCCGCCAGTGTCAGCCCTGGCCCATAGACAGGGTCAGGCACCACACGTGGGCATCTCGGGGTGCTTTCTCTGCCCTCATAGGGCTCTGGAATCGGGGTTATCAGGGTCATCAGGCTGGGCAACACGAGTCCAGCTTCTTGAAGCTTCAAAGTGTCAAAGGCTTCTGGAGCCGAGCCCCCACCGTATCCCTGCTGCCTTTGCCCAGTGGTCTCCAGCCTCATGGTAACAATTCTCATTGTGATTAGAATTGTCTGCTCCACTTCAGCCACTAGGGCCACCTTGCAGTCCCTTATGCTCTCTGTCCCCTTCTTTTCTCCAGGTCTCTGCTCAGATGTGGCCTCATCAGAGAGGCCTTCCCTTCCATCCTGTGTAAAATACCACCCCCAACACGCTCTGTCCCCAGCTCCTTTGATTTTCTTCCTAGCACTTAACATCCTCTGACATACTTTATATTTATTTGTTTATTGCTTCTCCTCCCTCCCCAACTAGAATGTTCCATGAGGGCGGGGTGTGTTATCTTGGTCTCTGTTGAGTCCCCAGTGCCCAGAATGACTCCTGGACAAAGGCACATGGATATGGAGTGAACGAGAGTTTGTAGGCAGAGAGCGCCGCGGGCTCCCTCCTTAGTCATCACCACCCTTCAAGGTAAGTCATCTTATCCCCACTTCACAGATCAGAAGACTGAGGTCCCAGGGGCTGAGTATCACGAAGCTCGAAGCAGGATAACCTAGTCTCCTTGACACTGAAATGGCCACCCTGCACAAATGCAGAGAGCCCCATGTCACCCTTTGATGGCACCAGCACAACAGGGAACTTTGTCCTCCACGAAGGTGGGAAGTTCAACTCCTGGCAAGCCTCCGCAGCTTTCAAAAAAGAATAAAGGGGGATCAAATCAAACTAGAAGTTGGAAACTCGGGTCGGCCCTCCTGGCTCCAAGTCCCTGGCGAGGCCGCAGCCGCTGTCTGTGCCCGAGCCGGGAGCGGGGCAGACAGCAGCAGGCCGCGGGGTCTGGGGGCTTGCTGGCAGCCGGCCGGCTGCGGGCTCGCCTGACTTAGTTAGAATGCAGCCGTTAGATCGCTGCATCCTCTCTGATGGCTGCGAGTGATTGACACTTACAAATTACCCAGCCGAAAGTGTCGAGTCTTTGACCCCTGAGTAACATCTTTGGCAAGCCTGAGATTTGCCAGCATTTTGTCATCTAATTACTACAAATCCCTTGAAAATTCACTGGCTGGTGAATTTTTAATGCGGGGCAATTTCAATGTGATGCATGGTCCAGATGGGTTCTTGCGTTTCTCACCTCTCTCTCTCTCTCTTTCTCCTCTTCTCTCCCTCTCATTCTGTCTCCATTCCTCTTTGCTTAACTTTTTTATTTCCTAACGTCCCAAACTTTTGAATGAGCCAGTAGTAACAGGAGCCCCACCCGAGCATTTGGGTAGAGTGGTTGCAGGATGGCTGTCTTCACATCTGATCATTTTCATGCAGTGTTCTTTGGAAATGGGCTTACAGACCAGTCACCAGAAAAATGCCTCCCAGAGAATGCACGGGTTCACCTTCTCCCGCTAGACTTCCCCAACCAGCACAATAAACAAAGCGGCATAAATAAACCAGCCTCCTTCGCGAAGTACCTTGTGAGTGGTCACTTCCCCCAGGCAAGCGGGCTGGTGACTGTCTGCAAGGTTAGTTGCATTCGCACTAAACTCTTGGGCAAAGCTAGCGTGTCATCACAATTGTTTTCTTTTAACTCATTGCTAAGGTCCTCTGAGAATGGTGCTCAGTGGGGAAGGGGCGAGATGGCTGCCTTTTCTGGAGCAGAGATGAAATCATCTCTTCTGCCCTGCATGCTTGGACATTTAATGCTGACCAGGCCTCCAGGCTTCTCAGACCTGGACGGGGAAGCTGGACTTTCTCCAGCCCAGTGCCGCACTGCCCCGTGTTGTAGAATGAACATGAGACTTCAATACAGAGGAAGGCAGGCTTCCCAGTGCTTAGGGTTTCTTCCCCAAAGGAGCAAAGTAATCTTCAAACCATGAGTGAGAAGTAGCCCATGAATGAGAAATTCGCGTCCCATTCTCTAAAGACTCAACCACCCCATTCTGGCATGGTTTTAGAATATTTATTATTCTTTTTTCTTTCACCTATGATATGTATATTGGGTTCTTATATCTAAATACAAAAACAAGATGCCTTTTAAACTTTGTGCCCCAAACAGCCGTTTGTGCAGACGCTCCCCGCGTTGACAAGACGGAGGGTGGAAATCAGTCACCGCATGTTCCCACTGTTGACCTCCTAGAGATAAGTCCCTTCTGCCACCTCCACCAGCATCCCCACCCCCTCCCTCCTTCCCCCTATTCAGGGAAACGAGGTTTTGCTTTTCAGCCCCGTTTCTGGTTACATATGTACACGGCTGATAAAATATTCCTCTTCACCCCTTCTCCCTGTGGGACCCGCCGTCTTACGGGGAAAGGGATTGTATGACAGCGACCGCAACAGACGACGTGTCGCCTGGAAACCACAGTGGGGAGGGGGGGGGTGGTGACTCTCCCCTCTCCTTTTTATTCAAATTCCCACTCCTGGTTTTGATAACGGCATCATTGCTGGAGAGAAAAGGCTGGGGCTTCCTCCATGGAACTCTGGCCAAGGCCCAGATGGTCACCCTCCTGTCCTTGAGAGAGAGGGAGAATGCCACCGAGGTCCTGACCATTTGCTCCCTGGCAATGGGCACCTGAGGCTACCCGGGCCTGCGAGGAGGTTGGTTCTGCCCTCCTGCTAAGTAGGCAAGGTCTGTCTTCTGCACAGCAGGCTCAGTTGGTTCTACACAGAGTTCACTCTCCCTTCGTGGCCAGGATAGTTGGGGCCAGAGAAGAATTTGGGTGGGGGAAATTTCCACAGAAGCAAACATGGCTAGCTGGATGGAGTCCAGCAATGGGAGAAGGAGGGGCTGGGCACTGTGCATGGAGAGGAGGAGGTCTCGGCTGCTGAGATTGTCCAGGAAGGATGAAGATAAAGGAAGGTCTATGGGGTTTGCCCCAAGGGTTCGAGGAGACTCTAGACGGTGCCTTTGCAGAGACAGATTTCTGCTTGTCTCTCCACCCACTTGGTTCCCTCATGTCTCCCTTCATGTGTAACTGATGTTCTCCAAATCCAGAATATTCCAGAAGCAGAAGATGGGGCAAAGGAAGGTTCAGGGAGGTTAGGGGCCAGAGGGAGGCTTCTTTCCCCAAGCTTCTTGACAACCTCCTTTGCCAAAAAGCAACACCTCTCTTTGTTCAGAGTTCACAGAGGCAGGGAAATTGCTGTGAGCATTTTGAAAGCTGGGCATCAACTCTGGAATCGCTGTTTGCAGAGATCTGTGATTGACCAGGCACGGGGCTTGGCGCTGAGGGGCAGAGCTGCAGACCCTGTGGTGAAAGAGCTTAAAATGGCATGTGGGGTTCAGAAGACAAGAACGAATTGAATGAACTCCATGTGAGAGGTGCAGAGGCTTCTGAAAGAGCAAAACAAGGTGGGGTTCAGATATTAATGCTATGAGCATTTAATAAACACCACTAGTTGCTCAGCACAAGAGTGGCAAACATAAGAGACACAGTCCCTGGTCTTGGAGGGCTGAAGTGTACTGGGAATGACCTTTGCATGCAGATGACCCTTAGAAAGGGGGCATCCAGGTGGGAAGTTGCCACAGTGATGAAACACCAACTTCACACATGCACTGAGACCCCTGTAGCTGGGTGGAGCAGGGCTGTTTTCAAGCTAACCTATTTCAAACAAAGATGCACGTGTGCATTACGTGTAAAATAGAGCCTGGTCCCTCCATATGGAGGCCCGATTTGCATGAGCTGGCAGCCAGCAATATGGAGTCCACGTTGAAAGAAATGCATTTGGATCTAAAAATAACACGGCCACTGCAAATGACAAATTCTGTTATCTGTTCTGTGAGGCCGCCTGCCTTCAGCCTCGTACTCCTTAAGATGGAATAATGAAGCAAAAATGCTGGCAACAAAATTTGCCTCTACTTCTTTCCCTTACTTCAATATTCCTCTGCTTTTTTCTTATTATCTTATTTTGGCGTGTGTGTGTGTGTGTGCGTGTTTGCATGTACATGCATTTTACTCCTAACAAGTGCTGTGGTAACCATTTAAAGTTCTGTACTTATTTGGACCATGGTCCGCACTTGACAATATATACCAACAGTTCGGAGACTATTGGGATTTTTCCCTCCTCCCTTTCACGTATTCACACATTCATTCAACAAACATTTATCAATATCTTTACACTGTTTTTTGCACGTGGGCATACTATAGTAGGAGAGAAAGTTCTTCTGAGGTCTCCTGCAAAAACAGATAATAAGCCAGGAACAAAAACATTTATTTCAGATAGGGATGAGGGGTAAAGAAAGGGCTGATTTTAGGTTGCAGTGGCCCAGGAAGGTCACCCTGAGGAGGTGACATTTCAGCCAAGACTTGAAGGTTAAGAAGATACCACCCATGTTTGCTGAGAATGGAGCTGGGGCCAGCAGTATGTTGGGTGGAGGGAAAAGAAAGTTCAAAGGTCCAGAAGCGGGGAGACTTTGTGTTTGAGGATGTAAAGTTGGCCCAGGTTTCTGGAACACAATCCATGTGCGGAATGAACTGGAGAGATATTTAGCCTCGTAGAAGCAACTGTTGAGAGCTTGCCATTCATTGAAACTGGAAGGTTCAATGACGCAACAGAGAGTTGCAGGAGATGGGGTGAAAACAGGACACGGCAGACACTGTGGGATAACCAGTTATTTCTAATCCCCTTCACCAGTGCTGCCTTCCACTTGATTTCTCAGCCCTGATGGCAGCTAGGGGGTGTCCAAGACAGAGTTCTAGCCAATCAGACATAAACAGAAATTTGGCTGGGTGCCGTTGCTCACGCCTGTAATCCCAGCACTTTGGGAGGCCAAGGTAGGTGGATCGCTGGTCAGGAGTTCAAGACCAGCCTGCCAACATGGTGAAACCTCATCTCTACTCAAAATACAAAAAGTTACCTGGGAGTAGTGGCAGGTGCCTGTAATCTCAGCTACTTGGCAGGCTGAGGCAGGAGAATCGTTTGAACCCGGAAGGCAGAGGTTGCAGTGAGCTGAGATCGTGCCACTGCACTCCTGCACTCCAGCGTAGGTAGCAGAGCAAGACTCCATCAAAAAAAAAAAAAAAAAAAAAAAAAAAAAAAAAACAAAAACAGAAATCTGCTAGGAGCTTTCCAGAAAAGTTTTTGTTTTCCTAATTAAAATGATAGTGAAACTGTAGGCCCTCTCCCTTCCTGCCTTCTTTCTGTCTTTCTTTAACAGAGGCAGATGTGATGTCTGGAGCCATGACAGCTATTTCCCAACCTTGAGGCAAAGGCCAATAGAATCATAAAGACAGAAGCTGGGCTCGGTGGCTCATGCCTGCAATCCCAGCACTTTCGGAGGCCAAGATGGGTGGATCACTTAAGGTCAGGAGTTTGAGACCAGCCTGTCCACCATGGTGAAGCCTCATCTCTACTAAAAATACAAAAATTAGCAGGGCGTGGTGGTACACATCTGTAATCCCAGCTACTCGGGAGGCTGAGGCATGAGAATCGCTTGAACCTGGGAGGCAGAGGTTGCAGTGAGCCAAGATGGCACCACTACACTCCAGCCTGGGCAACAGAGCGAGACTCTGTCTCAAAAAACAAACAAAAAAAAGAATCACAAAGACAAACAAGCTATTTAATCCACACCAGTCACCTCCCTCCAGACTCTTCATTATATAAGAAGAACGGCTCCCATCTGTTTAAGCCATAGTTGGCTTTTCTGTTGCTTGCTCTCAAATGCATTCTTGAGTTGATCTGTGGAGTAAGGGTTTGGGGCTGTGGATGGGGGAATAACAATATGGGTGAGTCTGAATTCAAAAGCAGCAGCCTTAAGACTCTAAGATGGATACCATGCTTGAAAGAGCCATCTCTGATGGTAAAATGAATCTATTGCTTACTTAAATATCTCCACTTCAAGTTCCATATTTTGGGGGAAGGGCTAAGATGAAATGAATCAAGATAGGCATGAAAAGTAAAAGTCTGCAATGAAATATAAATCATACGGATGGCCACAGGTTCTAGATAGCACAGAGTTAAGGTCTCAAAATCATGGAAGGCTAAGAGCACAAATGACATGGGATGAGATGAAACTGTGAACCTTGGTTCCAAGAATCCTCATTTTATATGTGATCCTTATTTCACCCAAAAGCAAGTTTGGTGGACAGACAGCACCATTGCAGAAAGACTGCTTGCTGGGGTTTAATTTGTGTATCCATTGAGCCTGGATGGGGAAGGGCTGGAGATGATGGAAAGTGAACAACAGTGGAAAGTAGAACATCTTTCCACATGAGCTCTGCTATCCCCTGGGCTTCCAGGATTTGAGGCATATTGTGACAATAAACTTTTTGTGGAATATGAAAGAAAAGTTATGGGATGTGCAGATTCATTATACAGTGTTAGAAAACAAACAAACACACAAAAAAGAACGTTTATTTGCTTTTTGTGTTCCCTCAAGTCCCATGTAAATTCTTGTAAAGTAAAAGTCTGCAATGAAATGTAAATCATACGGATGGCCACAGGTTCTAGATAGCAGAGTTAAGGTCTCAAAATCATGGAAGGCTGAGAGAACAAATGACATGGGATGAGATGAAACTGTGAGCCTTGGTTCCAAGAATCCGGCATCAGGGCAGTCCCCATCCTGTCCACTTAATCTAATGCCAGCAAGTGTTAAGGTCCAATTGGGCCAAGAGAAACCATCATGCCCAAGGAGAAGGCATCCACCCTATAGTGTAAATGCTAAATACGCAGCTCTCTGCCTAAGTGTGTGGCATATTGACTTGTAATCAACTGATATAGTTTGGCTTTGTCCCCACCCAAATTTCATCTTGAATTTTAGTTCCCCCATGTGTTGTGGGAGGGACCAGGTGGAGATACTTAAATCATGGGGGCCATTTCCCCCATCTGTTCTCATGATATTGAGTTAGTTCTCACAAGATCTGATGGTTTTATAAGGGGTTTCCCTCTTCACTAGGCACTCATTCTTCTTCTCTCCACTGCCATGTGAAGAAGGACATGTTTGCTTCTCCTTCCTCCATGATTGTGAGTTTGCTGAGGCCTCCCCAGCCATACTGAACTGTGAATCAATTAAACCCCTTTCCTTTGTAAATTACCCAGTCTCAGGTATGTCTTTATTAGCAGTGTGAGAATGGACTAATACACCAACAAACATTTGTTGAAGAAATATCTACCTACTGTGCACATACTGCCTCATGTGCTGGAATCATCTAAGACCAAAGGATTATCATAAAAGATGGATGTCAAGGTAGCTGTCCCAGAAATAATATAGGATATTCTACATGCCACATTTGCCTCTAGGGAATGTGCTTCCAGCTGCATTTTAACCAGGACATGGTCGTTCTGCAGCTAGAAAACTCCAGACATAGCTGAGCATGGTGGCTCATGCCTGTAATCACAGCACTTTGGGAGGCCAAGGTGGGAGGGTTGCTTGCTCCCTAGGTAACCATGTGCAACCTAAAGGCCATAATAAAAAATGCTGACATCTTGGAAGAGATGCAACAGGACTTGGTGGAGTGCACTACTCAGGCGCTAGAGAAATAGAATATAGAGAAGGACATTCCAGCTCATATCAAGAAGGAATTTGACAAGAAGTCCAGTCCCATGCGGCTTGCATCATGGGGAGGAACTTCAGGAGTTATGTGACACATGAAACCAAATGCTTCATCTGTTTCTACCTGGGCCAAGTGGCCACTCTTCTGTTCAAATCTGGTTAAAAGCATGGACTGTACCACGCACCCAGTGATCCATCCGAAATCAAGGACTGCACCCTGAGTCCCAAAAACCAGAGACTGAAATTTTTAGCCTTGATCTTGGAAGCTTCATTGTGTTTTATACAGGACAGTCACTGAACTAGTTTGTTATGGTTATAAAACAGTTAGCAAAACCGCCTACATTTGTATTTCTTTCCTTTTCTTTCTTTTTTTTTTTTTAGACAGAGTTCCACTCTGTTACCCAGGCTGGAGTGTGCAGTGGCATGATCTCGGCTCACTACAATCTCTGCCTCCTGGGTTCAAGTGATTCTCCTACCTCAGCCTCTCGAGTAGCTGGGATTACAGGCGTGCACCACCACATCCACCTAATTTTTGTATTTTTAGTGGAGACGGGGTTTCCCCATGTTGCCCAGGCTGGTCTCGAACTCCTGGCCTCAAGTGATCTGCCTGCCTTGGGCTCCCAGAGTGCTGGGATTACAGGCATGAGCACCACACCGGGCCTTGTATTTATTTTCTGTTCCATATCTCTGCCCCATGTTATTTTCTCTCAAAATCCATTCCTTTGAAAAATAAATATGTTGCAGATGTGAAAAAAAAAAGAAAATTGGACATGGAGTATAACATGAAAGGAGAAAGGAATAAAATGTCATTAAAATAAGAATATAGACAAAGGATCTATATACAAATGTCCATAGCAGCATTATTTGCAGTAGTGAAAGACTGGAAACAACCCTGTCAACAGAGGATGGATAATAAAATTGTGGTATATCCACACAACAGAATACAGCTCAGCAGTGAAAAAGAAACCACTGGCATCCACAGCAGCACTGGCCTGAAGTTCAAGAACGTGCAAAACTGAAGGTGGTAACAGGATAGCAATGACCTTTGGGGAAGAGAAACGTTCTATATTTTAATCTGGGTGATAGGTACACAGTGTATACCTAGATCAAAATTCATCAACATGTGTACATTATCTAATTTATACCTCAGTTTAAAAAACATAGGAAGGATAGAAATGTACACATGTATGGGTAGATAATAGTTATAAAGCATATCATATGATTCAGACCGGACCTAGATAAATATCAAGATCCCCTAGGGAGTTTTTGGAAAACATCCATGCCTTGCCTGGCGTGGTGACTCACACGTGTAATCCCAGCACTTTGGGAGGCTGAGGCTGGCCTTCTTTCCTTCCTTCCTTTCCTTTCCTTCCTTCCTTTCTTTCCTTTTCTTTTTCTTTTTGTTTCTTTCTTTCTCTTTCTGTATTTCTTTCTTTCCTTATTTCTCTCTTTCTTCTTTCTTTCTCTCTTTCTTTCTTTCCCCTTCCTTCCTTTCTTTCTCTTTCTTTCTTTCTTCTTTCTTTCTCCTTTCTCTCTTCTTTCTTTCTCTTTCTGTATTTCTTTCCTTCTTTCTCCTCTTTCTCTTTTTTCTCTTTTTTCTTTCTCTTTCTTTCCTTCTTTCTCCCTCCTTCCTTCCTTTCTTTCCCATTCCTTCCTTCCTTTCTCTCTCTTTCTTTCTTTCTTCTTTCTTTCTCTTTCTGTATTTCTTTCTCTCCTTCTTTCTCTCTCCTTTCTTTCTCTTTCTCTCTCTTCCTTTCTTTCTTTCCTTCTCTTTCTTTCTTTCTTTTCCTTTCTTTCTTTCTTTCTTTCACAGGGTCTCACTCTGTTGCCCAGGCTGGAGTACAGTGGCACAATCACAGCTCACTGCAGCCTTGACCTCCTGGGCTCCGGTGATCCTCCCACCTCAGCCTCCTGAGTAGCTGAGACCACAGGCATGCGACATCACACCCAGCTAATTTTTCTATTTTTTGCAGAGATGGGGGTTTCCCTGTTTCCCAGCTGGTCTCAAACTCCTGGGCTCAAGCAATCTGCCTGCCTCAGTCTCCCAAAGTGCTGGGATTACAAGTGTGAGCCACTACACTCAGCCAAGCTTTTTAAAAATGATCATCCCTCTAAGAAGACTTTCTAGACTTTTTTCTAATCACTCATCCTCCCCATGAAATTACAATACTGCAGATATACTGTGTTGCTGTTTATGTGCTGTATGTATATTTCTGCTTTCTACATACAGAGTAAGATTTGTTTCACCTCCCAATAATCAATTTTTGCCCCTTTTCGGGGTGAAATTGACCCTATTAATAAATCATGAGCTCCCTGGGGACCACTAGTAGCTTCTGCTTCACCTTGCCTTATAGGAACAAGGTGTAATGGCTCCTCACTGCTGCCAGTCCCAAGTAGCTTCACTCCCCTTTCTGATGTCTCTTAACCTCATCCACACATTTGTTCCTTTAACTCCCCCTCAATTAGCATTTCATCCCTCCCAGAACCCTGGCTGATGGAGATTCAGTGACAGAACCAAGAACATACCACAGGAATGTTCTGGGATGTTCTAGAAGTAAGATTTGAGAGTTGGGAGTCATCCACAGCTCCCCCAATCCCAAAACCTGTGCCCTTCCCATTGGCAGAGCCTGGCATGACTTGCCCCTCTTGTGGCTAACTGCCCCGGAGCTTATCTGTGAAAGAAATACCTCTGGCTTCACAGCTGCATTCCAGAACATTTTTAAGAGCATTCAGAACTTCCTCAGGTGGGCAGTAACTGCACTGCTTGTTCAGGGAAAACTAGGGACAGAAGGGAAGGAGAAGAATTTTAGCCTCTTTAACAAGGCAGACAGGTATCTTGATTATTCACCTCCAACCTGCAAAGACAGCCAGGTTCTGTGTGAGTCAGCCTTGGGTTTGAATTTTTTGAATCTATTTCTTAAAGATAAAGCATTCCATATTAAATGATCCATGCTAGTTGGTCAAGGAAACTCCTTTCCTATCTCCAGCCTCCTTTCCGAGCAGATTTGGGATTTTCACCTTACTTGTGGCCCCTGAGGATATTTCTCAGCAAGCATCATTTCCTAACGGGAGAGTTCATGTTTTCACCTTGGGTCTTGAGTCTTACAGAGTGATCCACAAACTCACTCTTGATGAATAAGGGAGCCCTTTCCTGCCCAGGAGTCCTGATTTGCCTCTTTGCTGATTTCACCTGCTTCTCCATTTGCTCCTTCTTTACAATCAGCCCACATTTTCTGCCCAGTATAACCAATAACTTGCTGCCCCTTCAAGTAAAAGCCAGTAAAGGTATTTGCTCTGCACTGTTTTAAGGGGTAGCAGAGAGCTTCTAGGGGAGATGGCGAGAAAGAGTGTCCTCTGGTGGCAAAGTTCAGCCTCTCCTCCAGGAACTGCAGCAATTCCGTTCTGGACCCAAACTTGCATAACCTCTTCAGCAAAGAATGGCCTTGCAGTTAGTTACTAGGTACACAGTCCTTACAGGGCAGTTTAGCAATCATCACTGTTACTTGAGAAAGCCTCTTGGGGATCTCACTACTTATCCCTGTAACAGCCTCATACAAGACTCTCCTGAGAGGAATTGGACAAAACACTATTTTCTCCATATTATTACACATCCATTGCTGATTTTATGACCCTTACGGGTGGCTGTTTCTGGCTACTGTTCAGCTGGCCTGATCCTTAATCCACCCCTTTTTCTGCCACTAGCCTGCCTTGCCTACCACATCTCCCAGAATGCCCCATAGCCAAAGCCCTGGGTTAGAGCTGGATGTGTCACAGCTCCTTCTATCACAACCAGGTAGGTTTCCAAAGAACAGCAGTTCTCAAACTTTTGGGGTTTCAGGACACTTTTACACTCATAAAATATTGAGGATCTCAAAGAGCTTTTATTTATGTAAGCTATGTGTATCCATATTTACTGTTTTAGAAATTAAAACTGAGACATTTAAAAGGCTTAATTTTTAAAATAATAATTATAAAGTCATTATATACTAACATATAACATATTTATAGAAAGCAAATAATTTTCTAAAAATAAAAATTTAATGAGGAGGGCCAGGCACGGTGGCTCACACCTGTAATCCCAGCACTTTGGGAGGCCGAGGTGGGCAGATTACCTGAGGTTAGGAGTTTGAGACCATCCTGGCCAACGTGGTGAAACCCCATCTCTACTAAAAATACAAAAAATTAGCCAGACGTGGTGGTGCGCACCTATAATCTCAGCTACTCAGGAGGCTGAGGCAGGAGAATTGCTTGAACCCAGGAGGCGGAGGTTGCAGAGTGGCATTGTTCTACATTTTTGCAAATGTCTGACTTAATAGAAAACACCTGGGTTCTTTTTCTTCTTTTTCTTTTTCTTTCTTTTTTTTTTTTTTGGAGACAGGATCTCACTCTGTCACCCAGGTTGGAGTGCAGTGGCATGATCTCAGCTTACTCACTGCAACCTCCGCCCCCAGGCTCAAGTGATCCTCCCACTACAGCCTTCTGAGTAGCTGGGACCACAGGCACACGCCACCACACCTGGCTAATTTTTTGTATTTTTAGTAGAGACAAGTTCTTACCGTGTTGCCCAGGCTGGTCTTGAACTCCTGAGCTGAAGTGATCCACCTGTCTCGGCCTCCCGAAGTGTTCAGGTTACAGGCATGAGCCACCGCTCCCAGAAACACCTGGATTCTTAAACCCACTTTTGCGACCTGTTGTTTTGCTTGAGGCATATGAAGAAAATCTAGTTGTACAAAAATATGAGGTGGGAAAGGGAGAGGCCCCCAGGTTCCCTGGAAGGATTTCTGGGACCATCAAGAGTCCTCAGAACACTGCTTAGAGATTCAAACTCTGGCTTCTCCTTAGCAGAAAAGCAGATCTTTGCAGGAAGCAGAGAGCCTGTGTTAAGCCTCAGGGGTTCTTAACTCTCTTGGGTTAATGACCACTTTGAGTATCTGATGAAAGAGAAAGATCTTTGCCTGAGAAGAAAACGGTTTTTAGTGGATGCAAAAGCGGTGTGCATGCGCATAATTCCAGAGGTTTCACTAACCCTATGAGGCCCATCTCTGACCCCAAAGTGACAGTAGGGGTTGGGAAAGAGGGAGGTCATAGTTGCTTCTAGGCCCTGAATAAGTACACACCCCCTCTAATCCATTCAATGCAAAGTCATGTTCATAGCTAATTCATAACAACAACAGCTACTATTTGGGGGCAATCTTTATGGTATGTCAGGCACTGCTGTCTATTTTACACACTTTACCTAAGTTACTCCTCACAAGAGCCCTCCATGCTATTATTATTCCCATTTTATAGATGGCAAAACTGGGACCCAGATAGGTAAAGTCACTCATCCAAGGTCACACAGTGGGAGTACACCAGCTTAGTCTGCTAACCACAGCCTTGCTCAGCCCCAGTGCTAGCAGCTTTACAACTAATGTGTGTGTATGTGTGTGTGTGTGTGCTGTGTTAAGCAGGAAAACCTATTTTCCTAAACAATTCACAATATGTAAAACAAAGAGAGGCTAGGCTGATTAAAGTGCTGGGTCTGGGAAGAGTGTATTCCAGTGCTCTTCCTCTATCCTTTCTATGTACTCAGCACTGTTCTAAGCACATTACACGTGTTAATTTATTCAGTTTTCCCTACAACCTACAATCTATAACTGTTTCTGTTTTACAGATGAGGAAGCAGATTCAGAGAGGTTCAGCAACCTGCGTAAGGTCACACAGAAAATGGCAGTGCTGAGTGAGGAACTCAGTGAATCGTGTGTGTGTGTGTGTGTGTGCACGTGCGTGTGCATATGCATGTGTGTGTACCTTTTTATAATCATGATGTTTGCATGGGAAAGTCTGGCAAAACAGATACCAACCCATTAGCAGTGGTTATCCTAAAAGGGTTGAGAAAAAAGATGGACCTTTACTTGCTAAACCTTTTCTTGTAATGTTTGAAATTTTAAATCAGAAAAATAAAATAGAGATTTTTTTTTTAGAAATAATAAGACTTAGTATGTTGACCTGTGGAGCAGGCCCCGAGCATGTAGCGTAGTGTCTGGGCATGCAGGTGTATGTGATTGGTGGGGAGGGAGAAAGAAACTTCCAGAAAGCCACAGGCTGGGGAAAAGTTGCCAGGTCCTAGGCACAGGGCTGGAGAGTGAGGTGATGCAAGGGAATCACAGGGGCCTCATGACTGTGCTGCCTCCCCCATGAAATCCTCCAGGTGTACACCCACATGTGGTAGACATTGGGGTACTCCCAGAAAAATCTGCAGGGGCCTCAAGCCTCTAGAATGTGCTGGGGCATGGGCCTGGCCCTCCGGGGTGCTCACAGTCATCCTGCGGTGTGAACACCCCCTGCAAAGTCCCCCACCGAGTTCACAAGACAGGAGATTCTCATTTTCACCCAGAAGACAGCCTGTCTGTTGGATGGCTAGGAGCCTCCTTCTATTTTTTTTTTCCTGAATGATAATTTTCCCCCTTTTTTGTAGCTAAAAATCACCCAGGCTTGTCCAGACGAGAGGGCAGAAAATTATGCGGTGAAAGAGAAGGGAAGATAATTTCTCTGGGTCACAGACATTCTCACTTGTCATCCGTCTGCAGGAGGAGAAGTGGAGAGGGAGGGAGAGCGAGCGCGAGATGCAGGGATCGAGAATGAAAATGAAGGCTGGCCCAAATCCATCACTGTCCTCCTCGGCTCTCCCTGTGGGGGATGAGTCTGGAGGAGGGGGGCCGCGGGAGGGAGGGGAGAGGATGGCGCTTAGCTCTGATCGAAGGGCGGGAGGAAGGACCGAGCCACACATGGAGCCCTGCCCTCCTGTCCCAGCTACTCAGGCCCACTTCCCCCCTCTGGGCCTCAGTTTCCCCATTAAGAAAACAGGGATAATAAAGCCCTCCTGCACTCACCACCTGCACCCCTTCCCGCACAACACACATAGGAGATAACATATGGGAACATTTCGGAGAATCTGGACCATGAAAACAAAAGTATGGGAGGAACAGGATCGATGTTCTCCAAAGACAGACGAAGCCTGCAGGCAAAGACCAGAACAAGCCAGGGTTCAAATCCCAGTGCCGTCCTAAGAGGACCTGGGAAAATTGCAACCCCTGTCTGTGCCTCAGTTTCCCCATTTGTAATCTGGGGACAATAATGCACCATATCTCATAGCACTATTGTGAGGACAAACTGAGAATGATAGATAAAGTGTCTGGCACCTTGTAATCACTCAATAGTAGTAATAAGAGAAATAACAGAAAATGACAAAGGAACTACCAACCGCCACCCATATTCTCGCTGCCCCAAATTGACAGTGGGTAATGCCTTGGAGTTGCCATTTCTCATGTGTATAAAAAGCTCTTAAGAGCTTTTAAAGTGAGAGGTTGAAAAAAAAAAAAAAAGAAGCAGAATTTATCATCAAAAAATCTGGTTAGAGTCCTAGATCTATCACCCATGGTGTGACCCTTGGCAAGTCACTTTACTTCGTTGGGCCTCAGTTTCCCCATCTGCAAAGAGCAGGTTGTAATATCTCACAGGGTTGCTGGGAGGATTAGCAATACTGTGTGTGACCTGCCTAGTATAGTGATGACTGGAGGTTCTCCAAACTCTTTCGATAAAGGGCTAGATAGTATTTTCCGTTTTGCAGGCCAGATGGTCTTTGCTGCAATGACTCAACTCTGTCATTGTAGCAGAGTTGAGTAAAGCAGCCATAAACGGTACGTAAACAAATGGTGTGACTGTGTTCCCATAACACATATTTACAAAAACAAGCCACAGGCCAGATTGGCCCATGGGTCACAGTTTGTTGACCCCTGGTCTAATGGAACAAAACCATAGCATGAGAAACCCACCCAGATCAGCACTCTGTCAAGCTGAAATTACCTCAGTTGTGTGTATGAGCATCAGGATTGCAGGAAAACACAAGCAATTCCAAAAGCTGAATCAGTTTCCCAGCCATTTCCTTAAGCCAGCCCTGGATGTCCTCCCTCCCTGACCTGTCCTGGACTTGCCCTTCCAAGTGCATGCCTCCTGTCACTCCCTGCTGCCCCACCGTCCTGCCCTGTGGCCCTCCGAAAACTTGTTCCTTGAAGTTTTCCCTGGTGGGAATGACTTTACTCTTTCCCTGGCTGGTCAGTGCAGAGTTGACCTTCAAGAGTTGGCTCACATACCAAGCTGAGATTTTGAGGAACTACTAGGGCGCTACCTAAAGCAAAATGGCAAATGCGGAGCACACGTTATGCAAGTTCCCTTCCGGTACCAAGGCAGACATTACTAATCAATCAAGACAATCTTTCCCACCTTAGGTGGCCATTAAATCAAATAGAGTTGCTTTTGTGATAAAAGCTAATTGCCATTCAGGCCCCATAAGAAGAAAGAAAATAGCTGCTTTAGTGTTAGTTTATTTTATGACCAGGAAAGTCCTGAAGTCTGAGATAAAAGTGTTTGTAAAATCCTTACCACAATACTATGAGCCCCATAAATGGGAGTTGCTATGAGTCCCATAAATGGGAGCTTCCGAGGTTACTGGCTCCAACTTGGGCTTCTGATGGCCTTGTCTGGAAGATTTGAGCCCAAATGGAAGAAATTGGGTCTAGCAAATCCTGGGAGAAGTTTTGAGGGTAGTTAGCTAAACCCTAGGATCTTCTGCTTTCTAGTAATTCAGGTCCCCTATTTCTCATAAGAGAAAGAGTGGGAAAATACTAATGAAATAGCCCCAAACTTCCCAAGGTGGGGGTGCATATGCAGGGGAAGGAAGGGGTGACCATCCTTTGGGGCTTTAAAGGCTCCTTTTGCTTTAAAAAAAAAATCAAAATCCCCTTCTCCAGCTTCTCTTCATTCTTTTTTTCTTTTCCTTTTCTCTTTATTTTATTTTATTTTATTTTATTTTATTTTATTTTATTTTTGAGAAGGAGTCTCACTCTGTCACCCAGGCTGGAATGCAGTGGCATGATCTCTGCTCACTGCAACCTCTGCCTCCTGGGTTCCGGTGATTCTCCTGCCTCAGCCTCCCCAGTAGCTGTGACTACAGGTGCGCGCCACCACGCCCGGCTAATTTTTATATTTTTAGTAGAGATGCAGTTTCACCATACTGGCCAGGCTGGTCTCGAATTCCTGACCTCGTGATGCGCCCACCTGGGCCTCCCAAAGTGCTGGGATTACAGGCATGAGCCACCACACCTGGCCGCTTCTCTTCATTTCTTTGACTTTGTTACACCCCCTCCTGTCTTAGGGCCTTGGCACCTGCTGTTCTCTTTTCTTGAAATACCCTTCCCTGCCCATTTTACCTAATTGGTGTTTACTCATCCTTCAGATCCCAGCTCTGATGTCCTTTCCTGGGGAAGCCTTTCTCTATAGCCTGACTTTTCCCTCCTTAGACACACTCCTTCGTGCCAGGTTGTTTGTGATCTGGTAACATCATCTCCTCCACTGGGTGATAAACCCCATGAGAACAATGAGTAATGGTGTCTGTTCATTTATCAACTCATTCATTCATTCATTCATTCACTCAACAAATATTTATTGAGGACCTATCATGTGCCAGAATGGATGGTCAGGGAGACCAGGAAGCAGGAAAAAGGGAGATTCTTATAAGAAAATGAATGCAAAAAAAACTGTGACTGGGCAAAGTGAGTGAGGGGGCGAGAGTGAGAGAGGGGAGGAGTGGGAAGAGCTGAGATCAAGGGGGAGGTTGGCTTTAATACAAAAAGTAAAGGGAGACTGTCTCAGTCAGTGAGTGCTACAATAATGCTGCAAAACAAATTACCCCAACATTCCGTGGCTTAAAACAATAAGCATTAAGTATTAGTTCATGAGTCTAGGTGTCATAGTCCTTCTGGCTTTGTCTGGGCCCTGTCATGCTTCTGTGGTCAGCTAGGGGTCACATAGGTGGCTCTGCTGATCTAGGCTGGCCTTTCCCACTTGTTTGAGGGTCAGCTTCCTGGCAGTGGGTTTAGAATGGCACTGCTGGGTGGACTTGGCTCTCACCCATGTGATCACTCATCCTCCAGCCTAGGCTTATTCTCAAAGTGGAAGCAGGGCTACTAGTAAGAGAGCATGGAAGCCACAAGGTCTTGGGATTGTCACAATGTCACTTCTGCAAAATTCTATTTGTCAAACCAAGTCCAGCCCAGGTTCAAGGGGTGGGGAAACTGCCCCACCTCCTCCTCCCATCAAAAAGTGGAGTGTAAGTCACATGTCAAGGGGAGAACATGGAGATGGGGGAGAGCTGGAGCCACAGAAGGCATGGAAGGTTTTAAGCAGGGCAGATACACCACCCACTACGGTTCATACAGATCTCTCTGGCTGCTGTGTGAGGAATGAACTACGGGGTGGCAAAAGGTGGGAAGAGTTGATAGAGGAAAGCCAGTTGGGTCCACCACTGATTTATCCCTAGTGATAACACATGCCAGGGCACAGGTGAGGCTCTCAGTGACTGTTGGACAGATGTACAGGTAGAAGATAATGGGTGGATGTTCTCGGCCACTGGTTGAGCCAGTATTAACTGCAGGGGGACACAACCCCTCAACTTGGCCCATTAGAAGCCCCCTCCCCTTCCCCTAGAGCTGTGATGAGGAGACGGCCTTCTTCCTCCCAAAGTTTAATTAAGTGACCTGCCTCCATGGGGTTGTTAATCCTGTTACCGCTGCCTGGCGCTGACCACAGGGGAAAGCGTGGGGCGGTGTAAACTGTCAGTTGTCTAGAAGGCCTGGTGGGGCACTGAAAGCCACTGGAATCTGGGGAAAGGTAGGGGGTGGGATGGAAGCCGGAGCCCCCATGGGGGCAGGATATCTGCTTTCCAGACGGAACACAAAGGGGCTAAGCTCAGTTTGAATCCCGTCCCAGGAGGAGATGGGGAGGAGGAGGGAGTTTGCTAAGAAGCTTCTGGCTTGGATGGGCTTTGCTTTGACTGCTGCCCATCCGGGTACCACATTCCAGAGCTGAAACCTCAGCTGGCTCACATTCCTGCCTCTTCAGAGACTTATTTCCCCTCAAGGGCAGAGGGAAGAGGTGGGCAGTCCCCAGTCCCAGCCACGCAGTTCTGGACCTAAAGAGATTGGGTTTGGATTCCATATCAACTGTGTCCTGTGTGACTTCGGGCATATTACCTAACATCTCTGAGCCTCCATTTCCTCATCTATGCAATGGGAATGGTAACACCGTCTTTGAGAGTTACTGAGAAGATGCAACTGATACCTAGAGTGGTGCCCTGCATGTAATGGGTGCTTCCTCCTACCGTTATTGTAATTGTCCCTCAGTATCCATGGGGAATTCATTCAAGGACACCCACCCCTCTCCCACCACACACAGAGATATCAAAATCCATGAATGCTCAAGTCCTTGATATAAGGCATATACTATATGGAATAGTATTTTCATGTAACTTACACACATCCTCCTCATACTTTAAATTGTCTCTAGATTACATATAATACCTGATGCAATGTAAACACTCTGTAAATGCTTGTTATACCATATTTTTTGCATTTTTAAAATTGTATATTGGCATTTGTTATTTTTTTTAAATATTCTTTATCCAAGGTTGGGTGAATCCACAGATGTGAAACCATGGATATATGGAGAGCCAACTGTATTTCATTTATCACGTGGAATGGTCGTCTTTTGTCTCTACTAGCCATTCATGGACTCCTTGGGAGCAAAGACTGTGTCCTAGACCTAGGGCCACTCTGGAGGCACCTGCCACCTTGTGACCAGTGACCAGCATCCACAAAGGTCTGCAGAACACAGGCTGAGTCACCTTACCAGGCAGCTCTGCTCACTGCCAGATCCCAGCCTTTGGCCTAGGGCTTGGCAGGTGTTGCCTCCTGTTTTCATGTGTGACTAATTCATTCATTCATTCAATCATTCATTCATTCATTCATCAGTGAATATTTGTTGATGCCATTTCAGTTTCCCCACCTATAAAATGGGGCATGGGGAGGGGACCATTGGATAAAGCAATTCCTTCTTGTCTAACATGTGATGAGAAACTAGCATGTCTCTAACACGAGACTGAGAAACCCCTCCCCCTTTTCCCTGGAAGCAACTCCTGTATCTGTTCCCTGCATGATATTTTTCCCCAAAGGCAGAAATCTTGGCAGTCCCCAGTCACAGGAACTCAGGACACTTGTTGAAGTGAGAGAGTTTCTTAAGAGCAGTTGCTTTTTGGGGCAAAGACCCAGGAACTAAGGTGGGGGTCAGGTAGAGCATAGAGCGGGAGAGGTGGGGACATAAAGTAGTGCCCCAGGCCGGGCGCGGTGGCTCACGCCTGTAATCCCAGCACTTTGGGAGGCCGAGGCGGGTGGATCATGAGGTCAGGAGATCGAGACCATCCTGGCTAACAAGGTGAAACCCCGTCTCTACTAAAAATACAAAAAATTAGCCGGGCGCGGTGGCGGGCGCCTGTAGTCCCAGCTACTCGGGAGGCTGAGGCAGGAGAATGGCGTGAACCCGGGAAGCGGAGCTTGCAGTGAGCCGAGATTGCGCCACTGCAGTCCGCAGTCCGACCTGGGCGACAGAGCGAGACTCCGTCTCAAAAAAATAAATAAATAAATAAATAAATAAATAAATAAAGTAGTGCCCCAAACTCACCCTGGACTCATTACCCTAGCAATCGCCAGCATGTGCCAAGAACTTTCCATTCTCCGTTTGTTGTCCTTACAGTTCATTCTCCCAACAGATGAAAAACAGAGGTCCAGAGAGGTGCACAACATTACACAGCTGGTGTGTAAGGAGGCTAGGCTACCAACCAGATAGTCTAACTTCATCGTGGCCTGTGCTTTTCACCTCTTTGCTCTATGGCTTCTTGACTCAGTTTCCCACCTACCAAGTGGGGCTCTCAGTATCTTCCTTGCAGACCTAGCACAGGTAATGAGAAGAGTTCTCCCTGTGGGAGCTGAGGGCCGTCAGAAAGGCTGAGACCATGATGTCGAGACCATCCAGGCTCCGACGTCAGACTTCCTAGCTCAGGGAGCTGGGGCAACCATTTACCCTCCCTGGACCTCAGTCTTTTCATCTGCCAAATGGGGTGGATTTGTTGAACCTACCTCCTAGGATGGTTGGGAGGGTGACAGAGCTGTGTATGATGTGCCTGGCACAGAGAGAACAGATCAAGGAGGCTCCCCCAGCATCTGGCTTGTAAATGGTCCACATGCGAGCCACCACTGGAGACTCGGGAAGAGGCAAGTCTCCCTGTCACCATCGTGGTCTGAAGAAATGGCAACCCCAAAGCACTCCATAAAACCCAAGCAGTAGTTAAGTTGGACTTCTGAGTGAACAGGAGTAATTAGTGCACTTCCCACAGAGAGTGAAACCCAAATGTCAGCCAATGCCAGGGCCATTAAAGCCATCCCCGGCTACAGCTATTGCCTGCTGCTGGCTGGGTCTCCACCTCCCTGCTGACCTTCTCAAAGGCAGAGGACAGACAGCACAGCAGGGAGCTGCCCAGACCTGCGGACCGGACTCAGAGACAGAAGATGGGCTTTGTGTTTTTCTCAGCTCTGGTACCAACATCTCCTTGAGTCTTATCTTTCTCATCTGTTAAATGGGCTGTATCTGCCTCATAGGATTGTAGGGAGAATTCAGTTTGACCACATGTCTAAAATGTTAGGCAAATGATAGCCCTTCTGGATGATGTAGGTAATACCACAAGGGCAAACAGTGCCCAAGACATAGTAGGTATAGTAGATGCTGCTGGTATCCCACTCAGATCTCTTTACTCATGGACCTGTCCCTCACTGTTCCTCTAGGCTGCCCAGAGAAGGAACCAGAGCTCTGCTAATGGGAGCTGCCATTGAGTAGGAAGTTTTGCCACGTGCAGCCCCTAAGGCGGCCCACAGCCAATGCTGTTTGATACAGGGGTACAAAAAGCCAGCCCTTGGCCTCAGGGATGGGGGCAACTCTGTGTGACCAGTAACACCCCACAGTTCCCTATGGGATCTGACTGAGGCTGGACTCTAGTTACAATCATGTCTGCCCAGATTCTTCTCCTGCTCAGCCCTGCTTCCCTAACCTCTCGTGGGTTTCTCCTGCAAACACAGCCTCCATAAAAGACTTCATGTGAATCCTAAAGCTCTAAGGCTCTTTCTAGAAAGGGAGTCTAATTTAAGATTGCAGGTGTTCAGTAAATGCTTGTTGAATCAACATGTTGCCTGTTATTCAAAAAAACAAACAAAAACAAACAAACAAAAAAAAACAAAAAACAAAACAAGAGTGGAACCAGGTGAGGCAAGAGAGGTGCCGAAGGCCCAAACTTTAAGGAAGGGTCCATTCTTGGAGTCGCGCAAATGCCCAGCCCTGCTGAAAAACCAGAACCCGTTTAAGCATCAATCAATCAAGAACCAGCTATGTAAACCATAGGACATCCTAAGAGAAGAAGGAAGGTCAGAGTTATGACATTGATTCCTGGGGCAGTTGGAGACAGACCTTAGTTCCAATCTTGGCTCCACCATGTAACTGCAACTTTGCACAAGTCACCTCACTTCTCTGAACCTGTTTCCTCACTCTAAAATGTGCATGATAATACTTCCCTCATATGGCTGTTGGAAGATTTGATGAGACTGTGTTAATGTACTTTGCACATAGTAGGTACTCAAGAAAGAGTAGCCACTGTAATGGCCTTTAAAAGCACTTAGAGCAGTTTTCTGAAAGTGCCTTACATGGGATGTCTCCTTCGCATCCCTGCCTTGTGCTCCCATCCCAGTTACCTGCTAGACCTGATGATTCTGATTCTCATGTAGGGCACAGTAGAACACAGCATTAATTTCTAGTGATGGATACATTCCCTCGGCTTACCCATGTGTGGATGAATCCATGTCTAAGGGATCTTCTAATCAGAATTGTGATTAAAATGAGGTGTGCATAAATGCATCCATTCTATGAATTGGCCCAAGCAGCTAAAGGAAAAACGACAACAAACAACATAGATTTACCCTTCCAGAGGTGAGATGACAAAGCTCAGGCTTTGAAGACCCACATCTGGCTGCGTCTGATTCCACCAACCATTACGTAGCCCAAAGCAAGCTGTGTTTTCTTTCTCAGCCTCAGGCTATGTGTCTGCAAAATGGGCGTGATAAAGCTCTAACACTAACACTGACATAATGCTATGTGCCTATGTATTGGGCTAAATTTATTTATTTACACGACCCCTGAAGTGTGTGAGGTTGGTATTAGAATGATCTCCATTTTCCAGATGAGGTAGAGAAACCATCCAGAGAGAGAACTGGCAGTTTCAGAAGTAGGGAGCATCTTAATTTCTAGCAGAAACTGGGATAAACCCGGGGTATGAGATAAAAATGGGAGATTCAACCATAAAAGTTTGGGAAATTAAATGATGCTATGACTCTCTGGGATGCTTGCTGGACAGAGCCCTCATGAGGGCAGGGCAAGTTAAATTATCTTCATAAGCATCCCTGTGTTCAATAAAACCCAAGCTTTCTTTTCTTTTCCTTTTTTTTTTTTTTTAAGACAGAGTCTTTCCCTGTCACCCAGGCTGGAGTGCAATGGCATGATCTTGGCTCACTGCAACCTCTGTCTCCCGGGTTCAAGCGATTCTCATGCCTCAGCCTCCCGAGTAGCTGGGATTACAGGCATGTGCTACCACGCCCAGCTAGTTTTTATATTTTTAGTAGAGACATGGTTCCACCATGTTGGCCAGGCTGGTCTCGAACTCCTAACCTCAAGTGATCCACCTGCCTCAGCCTCCCAAAGTGCTGGGATTGCAGGCGTGAGCCACCACGCCTGGCTGACTTTTCTATTTTGAGTTTTTTGGGGGTCCAGCCATTTTTTTTTTCCTTTCCAGCATTCCCTGTTCCTTGTTCCCATTTTCCTACATGCTCAGTCCATAGAGCTTGGGTGAGGCTGAACCATCTTCCGATACAAGGGTGATCACATGACCCAGCACCCACCAAAGGAGTCCAGCCCCTGGCCTCATTGATTGGTTCCAGGATAGGCAGGTGACCAAGGTTTGGTCAATTAGAACATTTCAGCTCTCTAACTACACTGATTGGCTTTGGGATGGGCACATGACCAAGTTGGTCCAATCGGAGCCAACCCAGGGACATTTTCCTGGAGCGGCTGGGAAAGAGGAGTCTCTCGAAATTCAGCAACTGCTAACAGCGAGGAGGGGGTAAGTAAGAGACTTCCGGGGGCCATCTCGTGGGACTTGAGAAGGAAGCTAACACCCAGGAAGCAGGATCAGGGGAAGGGAAACACACACACAAAGCCCTGATTATCTTGTTTCAGCCTCTGGGTCCAGCTGAGCCCAAAGTCTTCCATCCTGGATTCTTGTTACATGGGACAATAAATTTCCTTTTTTTTGCTTAAGTCAGTGTGAGTTGGGTTTCTACTACAGCAACTTAAAAAGCTCCGTCAGACACAAATGTCTGGCCTGTTTGCATTATTTTTTTTTTCCCAAAAGCAGCTTTCCTCCCATCATCATGTGATGCCATTTTTTTTTTTTTTTTTTTTTGTGGCATGGTCTAGCTTTGTCGCCCAGGCTGGAGTGCAGTGGCACAATCTGGGCTCACTGTAACCTCTGCCTCCCGGGTTCAAGCGATTCTCATGCCTCAGCCTCCCAAGTAGCTGAGACTTCAGGCATGCGCTACCACGCCCAGCTAATTTTTGTATTTTTGGTAGAGACAAGGTTTCACCATGTTGGCCAGGCTGGTCTCGAACTCCTGAGTTCAAGTGATCCACCTGCCTCCGCCTCTCAAAGTGCTGGGATTACAGGTGTGAGCCACTGCACCCGGCCATGTGATGCTATTTCTAAGCACCAGTGTGGAATAGAGTGTCAAAATGTGGCATCAGACTGCTGGGGCCGAGGCAGGCAGATTTGGATCAAATTCCTGCTGCTCCCTCCAGACCTGACGCCCTTGGGCGAGGCCTTTCATCTCTCAAAGTCTCAGTAGCCTCATCTGTAAATTGGGGATATTAATATCTCCCCTCACAGTGCAGATGAAACAGGAAAATGTTTGTTAAACCTTTTCACATGCTGTTCCTTCTGCACAGAATGCTCTTCCTTCTCTTCTTTGCTGACTTAGCATCTATTCATCTTCAGAGTCTCAGCTCAAGAGTCATTTTGTCAGAGCTATCTCCCTAACCTCGTTGGCCAAGGCCCGTTGTTCTGTGAAATTGTCCCATCCTCTGGAGCTTTCATTAAAGAATCAATGTGTCATTCTAGGCATGACTATGTGATTAATGTCCACCTCCCCCACTAGAATGTAAGTTCCAGGGGGACAGGGAAGTGTCAGTTTCTGCTCACCACTATGTCTCCAGTACCCTGCACAGAACAGACCTTTGAGAAATGGTCAATGCATTAACTGCTATTGCACTAGACTCTAATCAGAAGTTTTAGGAGGTTGGGTGCTCAGGCCTGTAATCCCAGTGATTTGGGAGGCCATGGCAGGATTGCTTGGGCCCAGGAGGGTGAGACCAACCTGGGCAACATAGCGAGGCCCCCATCTCTACAAAAAAATTTTTTAAAATTAGCTGGGTGTGGTGGTGCGTCCCTGTAGTCCTAGCTACTTGAGAAGCTGAGGTAGGAAGATGGCTAGAGCCCAGGAGTTAGAGGCTGCAGTGAGCTAGGATCCTGTCACTGCACTCCAGCCTGGGTGACAGAGCAAGACCTTGTCTCCAAAGATAAAAACTAAAAATTGAAAAAAAAAAGTTTTAGGTAAGTAGTGTTTCTTTGGACTCAGCCTACATAGAAGTGAGCATCTGAAATTACTAGGATGCTATGATTCCAGCAAGTGTCCACGTGGGTTCATTCGACCCAAAACCAATGGAGATGAGCATTGGTCTCTATATGACTAGCCTGAGCCATGCAGATGGCAGGTCTTCATCCATCAGCCAATGGACAGTCACTGTTCCCTTAGGTCCAGGAAGGCAGGAACAGTGGCACACAGAAGGACAACTGGCCTTCAAAGAACCCATAGAAGAGATGAGCTTAAAAGGAATGAGATGAAGGCTGGGTGTGGTGGGTCATACTTGTAATCCCAGTGACTCAGGAGGCCTAGACAGGAGGATTGTTTGAGGCCGGGAGTTTGAGACCAGCCTGGGTAACATAGTGAGACCCCTGTCTCTATAAAAAAAAAAAAATTAAAAACTAGCCAGGACTGGTTAATTAGCTTACATCTGTCGTCATAGCTACTCAGGAGGCTGAGGCCCAGGAGTTCAAGACTGCAGTAAGCCATGATCATGCCACTGTACTCCAGCCTAGAGTCCAGGTTATATACTAGGTTAACAAAGAAGATGCTAATTTTAACAAGGAAAAGCATTCTGTGCAGAAGGAACAGCATGTGCAAAGGTTTAACACATATTTTCATGTTGCATCTGCACTGAGGGGGAATATTAATATCCCCATTTTATTCATGAGGCTACTGAGCATTTGAGATATGAAAGGCACTCCAGCCTTTTATTCTTTTCTTGAGACAGGAAAAGAATAAAATAAAATAAGGATATTGTGGGCTCTGGAGAAGACCTACCTGGGTTTGTAACTCAGCCCTGTCACTGACTAGCTGTGTGGCTTTGGACAGCCTTGATCCATCTGGAAGACTTGCTTTCCTCGTCAATAAAACGGAGATGTCATCCCTGTGTTGCGAGGAGACAGACGGCTGGGTCCAAGTCTCTGCTCCTCCATTCGCGTTGTGTGAACACGGCTCACTGGTTTACCATTTAGAGCCTCAGTTTCCTTGACTGTAGGATGAGGGAGCAACAGAATCTAATTCTTAGAGAGGTTGGAACGATGAGGCCAGTTAATGAATTAAGTGCCAGCCACCAAGCCTGAACTTAATAGATACTCAATGTATGTGGCCACTGATATTCTTCTACTACTCCTATATTAGTATTATTAGTAGTAATATTAATATAATGAATGAGCTGGCTTATGCCAAGCACCCAACACTGCCTGGGGCATGATCGGGCCCTTTCTCTTCTCCTGATGTGTGTCCTGGCTCTGGCCACTGGCTGACCCACCCCAATTAGGTGACTCTCATGTTAATATTGACACACAAAGGAACCAGCTGGCGACCTCTGAACTCATCCCACTTGGGATCACAGGCTGATTTTGGCCCCAGCCCTCAACTTTGAGAGCCGGACTCGTAATCTCCTTTGACACCAAAAAGAGTTGGCCTCACCCCGACCTTTGCTCCCTGCTTCACTGATTTCCGGTGTTTACTGGGCCTGATGGGCGTCACATTGCCCACAGCATGGATGTGGCCTGGAGGGAGCGGAGGGAGGCCTGGATGGACCAGTGCTTGGGGAAGGAGTAGGGAGGGACAGGGCAAGTGGAGGCCTTTGGCTCAAGAAAACACACCTGCGACCGGGTGCAGTGGCTCATGCCTTTAATCCCAGCACTTTGGGAGGCCTTGGGGGGAGGTTCCCTTGAGGCCAGTTCAAGATTAGCCAGGGCAATGCAGCAAAATCCTGTCTCTCAAAAAAAAAAAAAACAAAAAAAATTAATTAGCTTGGCATGGCAGTGCACAACTATAGTTCCAGCTACTCAAAAGTGAAAGGTAGGAGGATGGCTTGAGGCCAAGAGTTCAAGACCAGCCTGGGCAACGAGCAAGACCCCAATTTCTACAAAAATAAAATAATTAGCCAAGTGTGGTGGCACAAACCTATAGTCCTAGCTACTTGGGAGGCTGAGGTGGGAGGATCACTGAGTCCAGGAATTCAAGGTTACAGTGAGCTATGATGGCACCACTGCACTCCAGCCTGGGCGGCAGAGTGAGACTTTGTTTCTATATAAACAGATAAATCAAGCTCACCTGTAGAGGATGTATCCGTGGGGACAGATTGCCAGACAGGGAGCCCCATTAGGAGGACAACAGTCTACAAGGAGATGGTAGTGAGTGCATCTGAGTGTGTTGGCGAGAAACGGAGCCGGCAGGAAAGTCACCGGGAAAGTGGAATGTACAGGGCCCCAACCATTAGCCTGAGGGGTGTAGGGAGGAGATTCTCTAGGGAGGAGGTCTCTTCTCAAATGTACTCAACACAGGGTTTTGTCCCCTGTTGCTCTGGGCTTACAAGGAAGGAATACAGATGCCTCGCTCAGTGCTCCCCGACCCCCTGCCACCGCCGTGGGTGGTCTGCATGAGAAATGGCCCTTGTGCCTCTTCCCCAACACCAGCACCAGCCCTGTGCCTCGACCCCAAAACCAGCCTCAGCCCTACCTACCCCAACACTGAGCCCGGGAAACAGACCCAGAACCGGGTGATGCCTGAGAGGAGTTACCATGGCAACAGATGTGCCGGCACAGACAGGGAGTTTTGCTGACCATCCCCAGCCCGCTGGCCACCCCTATAGAGGGGTGCATGAACCATAAACTGTCCTTGCAGCTGGCCCTGGGGACTTGGCACTGGACATCCCTCCAAAGGAGAGGTCTCCTACAGACTAGTCACTAGACACAGAGCTCCAGGCCAACCTCCTGTTGGAGCTCTCTGGCTCTTCCAGCTTTCTCTACATGACACCTTTGATTACAGCCCCTCTGGAAGACCGTCTGCTTTCATTTTCTCCTCGGGGCTGTCTCCCCCCTGCACTGTTGATGGAAGATGAGCTTCTAAGCCTCCTTTCTGTGATGGGCGTGGAGCTCACAGGTGCGGTGGGGGAGGATGAAGGAAGGGTCGAAAGAACTGAGGTTAGGGGTGAGGCCTCTGGAGCCAGACCTGCCTGAATTTGACTCCGGCTCTGTCACTCACTGGCTGTGTGGCCTTGGGCCAGTTACTTAATGTCTCTGAGCCTCCTTTCATCATCTGCAAACTGGTAGTGATTACAGTAGCACTCACCTTATTAGGTTGTGGTGAGGATTAAATGAGATAATACATGATAAATCTTAGGACAGGGCCTGGCAGAATATAAACACTTAATGTCCATAACCTCTTCCCTTCACTAAAATCACCCCATTCCTAGGAAGAGAGGAACACATTTTTGGCCATGAGAATTCACAGGGTTAAGTAAAAGTGTAAAAGAGTGAACAAGTGAGAATTGAGAGTTTTGGGAATTAGAAAGAAGGGTGCTTTCTTTTTTTCTTTCTTTTTTTTGAGACAGAGTTTCGCTCTTGTTGCCCAGGCTGGAGTGCGATGGCGCCATCTTGGCTCACTGCAACCTCCGCCTCCCAGGTTAAAGCGATTCTCCTGCCTCAGCCTCTCAAGTAGTTGAGATTACAGGCGCCTGCCACCACGCCCGGCTAATTTTTTGTATTTTTAGTAAAGACGGGGTTCCACCATGTTGGCCAGGCTGGTCTCAAACTCCTGACCTCAGACCATCCGCCCGCCTCAGCCTCCCAAAGTGCTGGGATTACAGGCGTGAGCCACTATGCCCAGCTGAAGGGTGCTTTCTTAATATACTCTGCACTAGACAGTAAGTTTTCAGGGAGCAGAAAGCAAAGTAAAAGTCTGTCTGATTTTCCCCAATCCTTCCAACACCTGACACAGGGCTAGGCACAAAGTTTTATTTCCACAGTCTGAAAATGCCATCCGTTATAAGAGGCAGCATCCATTTAATTAGAGTATTTCTCTTTCTTTTTCTTTTTTAAGATGGAGTCTCGCTCTGCCACCCAGGCTGGAGTGCAGTGGTGTGATTTCAGCTCACTGCAACTTCCACCTCCCAAGTTCAAGCGATTCTTGTGCCTTGGCCTCTTGGGTAGCTGAGACTATAGGCACGCAGCACCATGCCTGGCTAATTTTTATATTATTAGTAGAGACAGGGTTTTGCCATGTTGGCCAGGTTGGTCTCGAACTCCTGACCTCAAGTGATTTGCCTGCCTCAGCCTTCCAAAGTGCCGGAGCAAATGAAAATGGGCATTATATATGTACTAGATCCCAGTTTCAAAATGTTAAAAAGAAAAAAAGTTCATCTTAAAGCTGGAGAAATAAAATCATAGGTCATTAATAAATGGTAATCGACTATGTGAATGGGTGGTTGCAGGAAATGACAATACAGTAGAATGTAGTTAAATACTCACTATGCTCACTATACTCACCAATACTGGAAGAGTTAGAAAAGGTATCCACCATAACAAGCAGAGTGCATCTGGGAAGACTTCCTGGAAGAGGCAGCCTATGAGTGGGAATAAGCAAAAACTAAGTTATCTGACTTGGGGAGAGCAAGAAATGGTGGTTGGGCATAAGGGGTAGAGTCTTGATAAACTAGGAGGCTGTGTGACCACCATCATCCCCCTCCTTAGGTAATGGAGAATGTCAGAATTATCCAGGAAGGTGACTTCTACGTCAGCTCAGAGAAGCCAGGACCAGATCAGACATGAGTCCCAGGGCATGGGCCTGCACCAGGCTAGGCCCACAGGGGGCTTAAGGCACTGGTGGCAAAGCAGCCTGGGTTCAAATCCCAGCTGCTCCTTAGCTGGGCAACTCTGAACTGGTTACTTGGCTTCTCTGGGCATCAGATCCCTCCTCACCCAGGAAGTAGGGCAGATGACAGGGCTCTGAGGTCAGGCATGTGCAGAATCTGGTGTATGGAAGGTGCTTCATAAATATTAAATTTAGAATAGGATGTGATTTCTTTCTTTTTTTGAAAAGTTTTGAAAGGTAAAGGCCATTAGCTTGGAGGCAGAAGACAGACCTCCCTGACTGCTGAATTCCTGCCGGCCTGAAATTGGAGCATTCCAAGCTCCTCAGATGAGTCATAAGCCACCAAGATTGTGAGCCTCTGGGTGAGTATGAGTAGAATTAGATACTTCCTTTGTGGGGCTCAGTGCAAAATGCAAATGAGAGGTCGGCGCTAAATACGAGAATGTGCCCATCAAGCTGCTTCTGTGGCCTCGCGCCTCGCAGCAGTCACAGAGCCTTCAGCTGGAATCCTGGCAAACACTGTGGGCCCTCCCATGGTCTGGGATGTGCTTAATCCGAACACAGCCCTGTGGAGTAGGTGCTATTGTTATCCTCATATTACAGATGGGGAAACTGAGGCACAGAGGGAGGGACCACCAGCTGAGCCGCCAAAGGACAGGCAGCTGGTGGCATGGCTTTTAAAAGGGAACCTGTGCCCCCGGATCTGGAGACATCTTAGCCCACTAGCCCCTTCTTTTAGGGTGAAATACGCATTCTGCGAAATGGAGGCAGCTTGTAATGGGGGTGAAGCCAAATGCGAGAGGCCCGGGCAGCCGGATTTTCAATCCCAGTTCCCAGGGCACCTCCTTCCCACCGTACCCCGCTTCCTCCAGCAGGGAGCCCCCTCCCTCCAGCAGAACAGGGTCTGGCCTAGCCAACTTGCTACCGGGGCCGGGGGCCAAGAGTTAACGTCGGAAGGGAGCTCGAGAGAGTGTGAGAGCTAAAGGACATGTCAAATCAATCATATTTAAACAAAAGCCTCTCCCGCCCAAGGGCCCTTTTAAAAGCTGCTTATTTAATTAAAAGTCCCATTTTCCATATTTATGGCCCTTATTCAGTTAAATATTAACCGCTGGGGCCAGGGCTAGTGTGTGCTTTGTGAGCGGTGTGCGGGGAGGTTCATTACCGCGGCCGGGATTTACCAGACGGTGGCACGGCCGCGGCGGATCAATGCGGCCTGCCCTGGACAAACATGCTGGGGGCGGCCGCGGGGGCCGGGTGGGGCGGCGGGGCCCGAGGGCGCCTCCTCACTCTCCGGCTGGGACTCAGCGACTCGGGGACGCCTTGTCTCTCTCCCTGTCTCTCGCTTCCACATGCTGTCCCTGGGGCTGAGTCGTAGGCCTGGAGTCAGAGACAGAGAGACAGTGAGACCCAGAGAGAGATATAGAGAGGCCCAGAGAGAGATAGCGAGAGACCCAGAGACAGTGAGAGACCCAGAAAGAGACAGAGAGACAGTGAGACCCAGAGAGAGAGAGAGAGATACAGAGAGCCAGTGAGAGATCCAGAGAGACAATGAGACCCTGAGAGAGGCCCAGAGGTAGATACAGAGAGATAGTGAGAGACCCAGAGAGAGACCCAAAGACAGTAAGAGACCTAGAGAGATAGTGAGAGACACCAAGAGATACAGAAAGACAGTGAGAGACCCAGAGAGACAGAGACAGGGAGACACCCAGAGAGAGACACAGAGACAGTGAGAGACACAGAGAGAGACATCGACAGTGAGAGACAGAGACAGAGACTGAGAGATCCAAAGAGACACTGAGAGACCCAGCGAGACAGAGATAGAGAGACACCCAGAGAGAGACACAGAGACAGTGAGAGACACAGAGAGATCTAGAGACACTCCCAGTGAGACACAGAGACAGAGACTCAGAGAGACAGAGACAGGGAGACACCCAGAGAGAGACACAGAGACAGTGAGAGACACAAAGAAAGACACAGAAAGTGAGAGATACAGAGAAACAGAGACTGAGAGACCCAGAAAGACAGTGAGAGACCCAGCGAGACAGAGACAGGAAGACACCAGAGAGAGACACAGAGACAGTGAGAGACACAGAGAGATCTAGAGACACTCCCAGGGAGACAGAGACAGTGAGAAACCAGAGAGTCAGTGAGAGACAGCGGGTCGTGTTTCTCCGTGTCTGGCTGTGTCTAGGTTGAGACCAGGTCCATACTTCTTAAAATCCAACGAGAAATTAAAATGTTAAAAAATTAATAAGAATTTCCTGTGCGTGGCTGCACAGGTGGCACACTCTGGGCCCTGGCAGCCTCTCTCTCTTACTATGTGTGCTGGGGTGGGGCTGCAGAGGTACCAGGCATGGGGTTAGAGGGGTGGAAGGCCCATAAGAGCCCACGCGCTGCTCTTCCAGGCCCCATTCACTGGAGAGATGGGCAAAAAGAAAAACAGGGAAAGGGGGGAATCTGGCATGTATTAAGGATTTGACCTCACTCAGCTGCAGGGACAGGGGCAGAAAGAAAACAGCCACAGAAGAGGCCTAGATCCAAGCAGAGGCGCTCCCGGCTGCAAAACACGCATCACACGCAGAGCTTTATCCAGGGCTTCCCTGCACCAGGCACCAGTGCTGGCCAGTGTTAACTTACGTCATCCTCACTTCCATCCTACATAGGTCGTACGCTTTTGATCCGCATTTTACAGATGGGAAAACTGAGGTTCCAGACAAGCAGGGAGTGATCCTAGGGTCACTCAACCAGGGAGGGGCAGACCCAGGCTGTCTGCTCCTCATCACACAGTAGAAATCACCAGAGTTGCTCAGACCCAGCTGGGCACCATCCTTGCCGTTTACAAGTTCCTGACCCTACCTGAGCCTCAGTTTCCTCATCTGTGAAATAGGGGAATAAGATTTTTGGGGACATTTTGAATCACGTTTTATGGTTGCTCCATCCCAGGCCCTCCACCCCACACTGCTGCTCCTGACCACTGCAATTGATCCCTGAACTCGCTGATGTGACTCTCGGGGTGTCAGGGACAAAGCCAAATGCACTTCCCAGTCTTCTGAGTACTCAAGGGGGCAGGGCTTTCTCTGTCCCTCACTGCAGGAAGCAGTGTGGTGAATGGAAAAGGTGCACTGTAGAACCACAGACAATCCCACCTTTGCCATTTACTGGTTCTGCAAACTTAGGCTGCCTCACATCACCACTCAGAGCCTCAGTTTCTCCAGCTGCAAAATGGGAATAATGATAGACCCTCCTCCTAGTTGTTCTGAGGATTCAATGACATAATTCTTGTAATGGCTTAGCAGTGTGTGGCACGCAGTGAGCATCATTGCCAGCCCTATAAAAGCCTGCAGGGGCTGCACAAATGCTGCCAGCCTGTGCCTCCAAGGTGCCATCTCTGAGGGGCAGTGGGGCTCCATCAGTTCCAGCCCTGAGACCCGGCCAGTCTCCTGAGTGGCCTGGCAGAGGGAAACTTCTGCTCCAGTGCCACCTCTGGCCCTCCTGTGACCTTGGACCTGGAACATGCCACTGCCCCTCCTGGGGCCTCAGCTTACCCATCTGTGGAATGAGGGGATCATTGGGTTTAGAGAAATCTCTCTGGGCTATTGCAGGGATAATGCATCTCCGCAGCAGACAGGGTGAAGAATTTAACCTAAATGTGAAAATATCATTGAAATGTGCCCATTTATGCACAGGAAGGACTGTGCGACAACCAGGGCAAGCGCATGGCTCCTGAGAGCTGTCTGTTAGGTGCCAACAGCCAGGTTGGGAAAGACATCTCCTATATCACACACATGCATGCACACACATGGTCATAGGCACATGCACACAAAAAACACATGCATGTATGCACACATGCACACATGGGTATGGACACACATGAACACACACGCATGTACACAATGCACATAGGGCATGGGCACACTCATGCATGCATATGAATGCATGCATGGGCACTGGCCTGCGCACACACATACATGCATACACATGCATGGGCACACATGCATACACGGGCATGAGTGCACATTCACATGAGCACATATACACACATACATGCTCTTGCATGCATATACTCAGGCACATGCACACACACAGACATGCACACACACGGACATGCACACACACGTGCACACACACGGACGTGAAGACACACACACATGCACACATGCACAAGGGCATACACCTCATCACATCTTTTGCCCCATGCTCTGCTTCTCCATGTGGATCCTGTTAAGAGCCTGGTGCCTGATTTCTCCCACCACTACCTCCTCCCCAAAAAGAAAAAAAATCTGAAAAGCCAGATTAGAACTTCACATACGCATCGCTGGAAAAAATCTATGTCTCATTTTCATATCTAGCAAAATAAAATGACAGCAGAGCACTCCAGCAAACCCCTAGAGGGGGGAGCGTGTCTGCCGAAGATGAGGGGTGGTGGCGGGGAAGACACCTTTCCCAAAGGGAGGAGGCCCCGGGGCCAGAGGCACAGGAGGGGACCTTGGGCCTGGCGAGAGGCTGGAGGATGAAATCGATCAGGCCATTTTGTCCTGGGGCTGGAGGAAGGCTGGGGGGTCCTGGGAAGAGTCTAGGGGGTTGAATGGAGGTTAGAAAGGCAGCGAGAGGGGGAGAGAAAGAGGAGGAATAAAATCCTGGGGATGGTGGTGTGAGTGAGGGAGCGGGAGAGAGAGAGGGAGAGACACCAGGTTATCAGAGAAGTGTGAAGACAATAATGCAATCTGACATTTCTGAAACAAGACCCCCCGGTTGCCATGGCAACGTCTCATGTGGGAGCAGCTCCCAGGAGACGGCTCCGAGATGTACTATAAATGATGTTTGATTAGAATTTAAATCATTTAGGCAGAGAGAAGATAGGCCTTTTGTCAGCAAGGGGACCTGGGGGTGGGGAGGGAGGGGGGCCGGGGTTGTGGCGGGGGAGGGGGCACCGCTGGAGCCAGCATGGGCGTGGGGAGCGGGATCGGAGGTCAGCCAGGGGGTTGATTACTTTTGCCCTCAGCTTCATTTCCGTTTACAGTAACCTTTCCATGGTGGCCAGAGGGACTCAGAGGGCAGGAGAGGAGAGACCTGGGGGGGATGGGGGTGTGGGAAGGGAGTAAGGGAGAGCAGCAGAGCTGAAGGGAGAGATGCGGAGAGACAGAGAGGAACGGACAGAGCAGAGAGACACAAGCGGGAGAGAGAAGCAGGAAGAGAGAGAAGGAGAGGGAAAGGAGAGGAAGAGAGACAGACACAGACGGGCAGAAACGATGAGAGAGACGGAAAGAAGAGAGACCAGGAAATGGACTGAGAGACACAGATAGACGGTACAGAGACAGAGAGAGACTGAGAGACACAAAGGGGGAGACCTGGAGTGAAAACATGGACTCTTGTGTCCACACACCCGGAATCATTTTCCAGCCTCTGAAAAATGCATCAGGAATGTGGGTGCCCATGCTGAGTCCTGAACTTAGAAAAACTCTGCCTCCACCTCCCACTTTGGTCCCCATCCACAGGGAGATTCCTTGGCCCTGGAGTTCCTGGGGAAGGGTTAGTGACCCTGGAAAAGAGGCACCATGGGCTTCTGGTCCTAAGGAAAATGGGCCAATTTTACTGAGCTGCCATGTAAAATCTTAGACAAACCACCTCTCTGTTCTGAGCCTCAGTTTCCCCATCTGTAACACAAAAAGTGTTATAGATGGAGAGTCAGATCAGCCTATGGGCAATGAGCCCCCGTTCCCCATTCAGTTTTTATTTTTAGTTGCATTAATTGCCAGCATTTAAAAGTTGGGAGCGTTTGCAAAAAATGTTTAATTTCTGGGTTCTCAAAAAAATAGGAAAATCTATGCATGCTGGGCCTGTATTTCCACATGGCAGCCATGTGCTGGAAAGGAGGAGTAGTCCCCATGTTTAAGCAGAGTATGAGGGCTCCAGTTTACCACAGTTTCCACCATTCCCTATTGTCTTACACCCAGCTACTTTTCACACCTTCATGGTGACTGCCTGCCCTCTGTAGGAATTTGTGGGTTTTTGTTTGTTTGTTTTTTGGAGACAGAGTCCCACTTTGTCACACAGGCTGGAGTATGGTGGCGTAATCATAGCTCACTGCAGCCTCGACCTCCCTCCTGGGCTTAAGTGATCCTCCCACCTCAGCCTCCTGAGTATCTGGAACTATAGGAATGTACCATCACACCCGACTAATTTTTGTATTTTTTGTAGAGATGGGGTGTCAGCATGTTGCCCAAGCCAGTCTCCAACTCCTGGGCTTAAGTGATCCTCCTGCCTCAGCCTTCCAAAGTGCTGGTGAACTTTCAAACTCTGCAAATAAACTCCAGGATCCTTATGGCTCTAGCAATCTATTAACATATGGATTGTAGACCTCATACCTCAGTCACCATGGTTTTGGGTGCCCAGGATAATAGAGTTCATGGGGGTAATCACAGAGTCAGAGCGAACTATATGGCCATCCTCATACACACTGTCAGAGCTCAATAAATGTTTAATTAATTAATTAATACAGGAAGATGAGCCAAAATGATTAGGGAGACTGAAATGAGAACCATGATGGGAAATGGGTAGCTTTTTGAGAAAATGGACTTGTACCACTGGGCACTGAGGATAAAAGTGACCTGCTTGGGAGAAGCCCAGAAAGCAGATGGGAGGGAGTTTGTAAGGAGGAAAAGAGCTGCTTTCAAAGAGGCCATCTTGAAGTTCTCTATCTTGGCACCTTCCTCATGCCCACCAGGACACTTGTCACAACCTGGAAGTTTGTTGTTTGTGTATTGGCCTGTGTGTGGTCTCTCCTCCCCGAGGAGACTGTGAACTCCATGAGGATAGAAACTATATCTGGCAGAGTCAGTGCCGTAGCCCCAGCACCCAGCATATAGTAGCTGCTTAGGAAACTCTGGATGAATAAATGAGGGAATGAGTCCCCTTTTCACATACTTCTCCCATTTTTGCTCTGAGTATTTTAAAGCTATCCGAGCCCCGTCCTCATACTTTATTATTATTGTTATTATTATTATTAAGACAAGGTCTCGCTTTGTTGCCCAGGCTGCAGTGCAGTGGCGTGATTATGGCTCACTGCAGCCTCGGCCTCCCAGGCTCAAGCAATCCTTCCACCTCAACCTCCTGAGTAGCTGGGACTACAGACGTGCACCACCACGCCTGGCTAATTTTTTATTTTATTTTTTGTAAAGGTGGGGTCTCATCATGTTGCCCAGGCTGGTCTCAAACTCCTGAGCTCAAGGGAGCCTCTCGCCTCCGCCTCCCCAAAGTGCCGGGATTACAGACGTGAGCTACTGCGCCCGGCCCCTCATGCTGTATCATTAAATGCAAGCAGCTTGCTTTTATGTTTTGTTCATTTAAGGGAGCACTTCCCTTACTAGGAGTGGCAATGATATGACCCTAGGCTAGTAAGAGGCACTTAATGTCTCTGAACTTCAATTTCTTCACCTTCAAAGTAGGGCTAATACCTTCATTCTGAGAATGTTCTAAAATTTAGGCAACAGGTCTATAACAGTGTCTGGCATGGAACAGGTGCTCAATAAGTAGAAGCAATTTTCATGGTTGTAGACACTAGTAATCTACTAGCATGTGGTAGTCATATAAGTAATAAGAAGACCCAAGGGAAGAGGCAAATCTTGGGGTGATGTGGACATAGGGTGGAGATAGGGAAGAATTTGGAATCCCTTTAGTAACATTTCTCTTAGGCAGAGCTGTGTTCCCAAGAGTATTTTCCTTTCTCAATTTTAGGATTTTGAAGCTTTGCTATTGAGGAGGATGGTGGATTCATCCTCCACCGTCACTATCTTACAGTTCTGGAGGTCAAAAGCCTGACATGGGACTCGCTGTGCTAAAAATCAAGAACTGCACCCTTAGAGGCTTAGGGGAGAATTGTTTCCTTGCCTTTTCCAGCTTCTAGAAGCTGCCCTTAATCCTTGGCTCATGGCCCCTTCCTTCATCTTCAACCGATAATGGCCATGGAACCTCTTGACCCTTCCAACTCCAATCACACCGGTAATGCCTGCCTGGAGCACTATGTGAGGAATGATGTTGCAGCCATGTCTGGACTTATGGAGCAAGAATGCTGTAATTGATTAGTGATGTCTGCCATGGGCAGGGATGGAGTTACTCAGTTGCACAGTGCTTGGCACAAAGGAACTGCTTGTGGCAGCTGCCTCTGGTTACCCATGTCATGGTGTTCCTTTGGCCCAACTCTAATTAAGTTGCAGCTGCAGTGGGCCATTCTGTGCAAGCAAACTGAGATTCACCATGGTGACAGCACACAGCCTCCAGCATGAGCTGTGTGTCTTTCCTCTTTTGGTCTTAGGCCCTGTTGGATGTGATGGGAGTCCACTCAACCATACACAATGCAGCCTGGACATGGAGGGTTATGACTTGTATTACTTTCCTATAGCGACTGTATCAAATTGCCACACACTGGGTGGCTTGAAGCAATACCCCTTCACTATCTTACAGTTCTGGAGGTCAAAAGCCTGACATGGGATTCGCTGTGCTAAAAATCAAGAACTGCACCCTTAGAGGCTTAGGGGAGAATTGTTTCCTTGCCTTTTCCAGCTTCTAGAAGCTGCCCTTAATCCTTGGCTCATGGTCCCTTCCTTTATCTTCAAAGCAAGCAGTGTTTTGGGCTGAGTCTTTCTCTCATTGCCATCTCTGCTTGTCCCTCTGTCATCCCCTCCCTTCCACTTATCAGAGCTCTTGTGGTTACACGGGGCCCACCAGATAGCCCAGCATGGTCTTCCTGTTTTAAGGTCCGCTGGTTAGCAACCTTCATTTCATCTGCTCCCTTAATACCCTTTGCCATGTAACCGAACATTTCACATGCTCTGGAGATTAGGAAATGGGTAGCTTTAGAGGTCATCATTCTGCCTACCACATCGCCCCTGGGGTCAGCCCCTCGTGACAGTGAAGGACAGTGGATGCTGTTGCAGTCTTCTGGTCTTCAGTAGACAATTCTGGAAAGCATTCTCTACACCCCTCAACAGGTTCCAGAGAGATTGAGTCTTTGTTATCTGTAATGGCACTTTTACATTGACGTTCCTCCTTCCCTGACTTACTCTCCCTCATCCCTCACTCCTGCTTCCAGAGATCACTGGTCAAATAAGTTATCTGCACCCAAGTCCTTGTCTCAAGCTCTGCTTTCAGGAGAACCCAAACTAAAACAGTTCTGGCCAGGTGCAGTGGCTCACACCTGTAGTCCCAACACTTTGGGAAGCCAAGGTGGGTGGATCACTTGAGGTTAGGAGTTCAAGACCAGCCTGGCCAATATGGTGAAACCCCATCTCTACTAAAAAGACAAAAAAGCTGGGCATGGTGGTGGGCGCCTGTAATCTCAGCTAAGGAGACTGAGGCAGGAGAATCACTTGAACCTGGGAGGCAGAAGTTGCAGTGAGCCGAGACCACACCACTGCACTCCAGTCTGGGTGACGGAGTGGAACTCTGTCTCAAAAACATAAAATAAAATAAACAGGTCTTCATAAACGTTGGCTATTACATTGGTCAAGCTGGATGTGATAGACACCTGGCACAAAGTGGCTTAAGCAAAAAGCAATTTATGTTCTCATTGACTGAAAAGTTAATGGTTATATCTAGGACTTCAGGCACAGCTGGATCCAGGTCCTCAAACAATGGCCTCAAGAGTTTGTCTTTTTTGAAATCTCACTTGTACTTTCCTCTGTGTTGGCTTCAGCCTCAGGCACCCTCTCCCCATACATTGGCAACGATGGTCGCCAGCTGCTCAGCCATTGACCACAACAAAAATGAGAGTGACTTTTACCCGATAGTGCCAGGAAAGACACAGGAATCCTTGTTCCTCAGTTCTGATTGGCTCATCTTGGGGCACATGCCCGTGCCTGGACCAGTCACTATGGGAGAGGGGATGTGGCACTGTCGTTGGCCTTGGGTCACCTGCCTCTCCCACAAGTTGGGGGTGGAGTCAGCTACATCAAGGCCACCTGGCCTGAGAGGGAGCAAGCTGCGGTTCCCCTAAAAGAACTGGAGTGCTTCTCACATAACAAGGAGTCAAGTACGAGTCACAGACGTCCTCTACAAGTGAGATCATCGTGTACTGTTAATTTTAGGTAAATCTCTCGCAAGGATGGGAGACAAGATGCCGCCCAGCAGGTGGAGGCCTGGAGCTGGGAGGAGGGGAAGCTAGGCGTTGTGCCAGTCATCAGTGCCAACCGGTCCTGGCTGCAGGGAATTCTTGGGATCAGAAATCTACAGTCTGAGAACTTGTCTATAATTTTGCAATTTCTATTTTCTTTGCTACAAAGCAGAGAGAAAGCCAAAAGAAAATAAAGTTCCTCTCAAAAATGCCAGGCTGTCTGTGCCGGATAAAATGGCATGTGAAGAGTGAAAGAGCCTTTTGTTGAGGCTTAGGGAGAAAGAAAAAGGGGCTGAGAGTAAGGGAAATGTATCGGAAGCCCCCCTGCCCGACCTGGGGAAGAGGCAAAACAGAGATGGGAGGGAGAAGAGGGTTCCTCCTGCATGAGCTGAGCCCAGGGAAGGTTTGAGTGTCTGATCGTCAGGGATCATACAGACCCGGATGTGACTCTCTCCTGCCACTTTCTAGTGGTGTGGCCTTGGGTATGTTTTAGAAACTCTCTGAGCCTCGGTTTTCCCATCTGTAAAATGGGGCTGGAAATAGTACTTCCTCAAATGACTTAGGTGAAGATTAAATGAAATAACATATACAAAGCCATTAGCCTAATGTGCTTGGCATGTGATAAGGGTTCAAGAATTAATAGTAACTGTTATTATGATTGCTGTTTTTACTCTGATTCCTTATACCTGTCAATAGTCAGGGTCATCTGTCTCAAGGAAAACGGGTTCCCAGCTTGCTTTTAATCAGAAGGCAGGAAGTGCAGTGGGCACAGAGACCTAGTATGCTGTGTTCGCCTCCCGTTACTGCTGTCACAAATTACCACGAACCTGGTGGCTTACAATAGCAAACATTTATTCTCTTACAGTTTTGAGGGTCAGAAGTCCTGAGACTGGGCATAGTGGTGCATGCCTGTGGTCCCAGTTACTTGGGAGGCTGAGGCAGGAGGATCGCTTGAATCCAGGAGTTTGAGGCTAGCCTCGGCAATATAGCCAAGGGTCAGATCCACACCAAAAGACTCACCCAGCCAACTCACAGAGTCACAAACAAAATCAATCATTGTTCTGAGTTTTGATAGGGTTTTTTTTTTAAGACCCTATCTCTAAAAAAAAAAAAAAAGTCCCCAAATCAAGGCATCGGTAGGGCTACATTCCTCCTGGAGGCTCTAGGAGCCTGTTTCTCTGCCTTTTCCAGCTTGTAGAGGCCACCGGCATTCCTTGGCCTGTAGCTCCTTCTTCCTTCTTCAAGGTCAGCTGTGTAGCATCTTCCAGTCTCTCTCTCTCTGCGTCCATTATCACATCTCCTTCTCTGACTCTGCCTCCCTCTTATAAAGATCCCTGTGGCAACATTGGACTCACCCAGATAATCCAGGATCATTTCCCCAGCTCAAGATCTTTAACTGAATCGCGCCCACAAAATCCCTTTTGCCATGGAAGGTCACATAGTCAAAGGTTCTGGAGATTAGGATGTGGACATTTGGGGTGGGGCATTATTTAGTGTGGCACCTGTGCTAAGCCTAGACAACAGGAAGGCACACAAGCTGAGTTGGCTTTGGGTCAGTTGGTGTTTATGACACAGCAGCCCACCCCCAAATTTAGGACTCAGAATAACAATTGATTTTGTCTGTGACTCTGTGAGTTGGCTGGGTGACACTTTTGGTGTGGGCTGGCTCTGCTGGTCTTGGCCAGTCTTGCTCATGTGTCTGCAGGCAGCTGGTAGGTTGAACATTGGTTGAATGATCTAGGCCTCACTCCCGTGTCTGGCGGCTGGCTGGCTGTCCACAGGGATAGGGGTCTCTCATCATCCAACAGGCTGGCGCAGGCTTCCTTGCTTGTAGGCATCAGGTTCCAAGAGCCGAAGCTACAAGGCCACTTAAGGCTGAGGCTTGAAATGGGCACAACATTACTTCCCCTGCATTCTAGGAGACAAAGCAAGACACAGAGCCAGGTCAGGTTCAAGGACTGGGGAAACAGACTCTACCTCCTGATAGGAGGAGCTCCTAGATATCATGGCCATTTCTGACAGGGCCAGTTTCGGGCACTGTGCTAAGTGCTTTCATTACGCTATCTCATTCCATCCTCACAGTAACCCTTTGAGATGATAAGCACTATTTAAAGGTCCCCAACTTACAGATGGAAACGCTAAAGCTCACAGAGGTGCAGCCACTTGCCTAAGGTCGAACAGCTAGTGAGTGGCAGAGTGGGGACTTAGCCCTTATGTCATGAGCCACAATAGACCCTTCTTGCAAAAGACATGCATTTTGAGATGGCTGACCAGCACTAGAGAGGCTGACTAGAGGGGAAATGTGGGTCTCACTTGATACCGTTGCCCAAGCACTGAACTCACCAGCTCTGCTGCTAACCCCAATGTGGCTTCCCAGGCCCCATCTCCTGGGAGGCTGAGTGGATTCCCAGCAGGGCATCTTTTTTGAGGAGCTGGGAGCCCTTCCCTCACCCATCCAGGAATCTGGAAATGGGCCTATCACTTATTGCTCCTTTTCCACCTATGCAGGAAAGGGAGGAGGGACAGCTGGCTGGGGTGGAGGTGCCCAAATCTGTCACTTTCCCCATGAGTCTGACCTTTTTGTCCCATCGCTTCTACACCTACGTGGGTCCAAGCCCCCATTGCTTCTACCTGGATGACACCAGAGCCTCCTCCCTGGTCTCTCTGCTTCCATCCTGGCCTTACTGCCCCCCACATCCATTTCCCACTTGGTGGCCAGGGTGAGCCTCTGACAACCTAAGTCAGATCCTATCACTCCTTCCACGGCTCCTATCTCATGCAGGCTGAAACCAAGCACCTACCAGATCCTGCCTGTGATCTCTCTGATCTCCCCTGATCCCTACCACCCCGGCCTGGGTGCCCCAGGTACCCGCCCACTCAGGGACTCCAACCTGCTGTTCCTGGCCTGGAACATTCCACCTCTATGGCTCACTCCTTTAGTTCATGCCAACGGCTTCTCAAATGTCCGTTTGCCCCAGCCAGGCATGGTGGCTCACACCTTTAATTCCAGCACTTTGGGAGGCTGAGATGGAAAGATTACCTTGAGGCCGGGAATTCAAGACCATCCTGGGCAACATAGCAAGACCCCTGTCTCTACAAATGTCCCTTTGCAGGGAGGTGGGGTTTTTCCCTCCCCCTCCCCTCCCCTCCCCTCCCCTTCTCTCCCCTCCTCTCCCCTCCTCTCCTTTTTTTGCATGTAAAATAGTGACCCTTATCGTTCTTGTCTGGCCTTTTATTCTGTTTTGCTCTTCCTGCATAGCATGTCCTCCTATATATGATTTTGTGTGTCAATGTATTTATTTACCATCTGCCACCTCCAACAGACTGTCACCTCCACCAGGACAGGAATTCTTTTTCTACCTATTCTCTGCTGTGTTCCCAGTCCTAAGGCAGTGCCTGGTGTTGGCACATAGTAGTTGCTCAGTAAATACACTTTGTGCTGTTAAATGAATGAGCAAATGAGTGAATGAATGGCAGGAACCCCTGGACCCCTTGCTCTCTGGGGGCACTGGGCACAGGAGGAGCCTGATGGGAGCTGAGAGCTGAGAGGGCCCTCATGGCACAGGTAGTTCTTACCTGGAGTCCCCGTGGATTGAGGCACCAACAGGAGAGAGGGTGGCCAGCTCCGTGAAGTCATTGGGTGCCCTCACCGGTTCTCCTTACAGCATCCCCTCCCCCACTCCTTGGACATTCATTCTTCCATTGCTGCCCACTGCTCATTAAGCAGGATCTGCTCTGTCTCTTGAATCTTCTCTGAAACAGGCTTCTCCCAGCTTGTAGGAGAAATGCCTTGCAGGTGAAGATGGTGAGGAAGTTGGCCCTGAAATAGCCCAGCCCCTCGAAGAGACAAACAGGGAGGAGCATCATTCAGGTGCTTCACTGGGAAATGAACCAGGTAGGCCTCTCTCTGAGGGGCAGTGCTGACCACTCAGAGGCGGCAGTGCCTGTGGAGAAAAGGGAGAAGGAGTCCTGAATCTGGGCCCTGCAATCGCCTGTGCATTTGGCCTCAGGGGAGTCGCTTAAACTCTCTGTGCTTCGGTTTCCTCATCTGCAGAGTGGGCATCAAGCTATCTAACTCACAATGTACAATGTACACCGTGGCTTGCAGCTTCCAGTGCCTGCAGGGGCTGGGCAGGTGGGAAGACACTTGAAAGGCATTGAGGGATGGGCAACATGTGAGCCCCAGCCCCTGTATGGGGGTGGCCACTATTCGGTCTTTGTCATGCAGGAAGAGGGGCTCAGAAAGGCCAGCTGTGCTGATTTTGCTTAAACCAGATTTTGCTTAAAGGTGAAATTTTCTTATTTTTAAAAATGACGGCACATTCAGATTAAAAGCATTAAAAGGGACACACGAAATCTGTTAACAAGTTTGCAATCTGTGTTTCAGCCCAGATATAGAGGGGAAACTGAGGCAAAGAGAATAGGAGCTGGTCACCCAGAAAGATAGAGGGAGAAGTGTTTGTCAAGGGAGGGCAAGGGACAGACAACCCCCAATCCACTTTTGTTTTCGGGAACCAGAAGGCTGTGGCTGCCTTTAGAACTGGTTCATACTGAAACACAGAGACCTCCTTCTTTCCTCCTCTCTCCCATGGTGAGGGATGGTGTCTTAGTCCATGTGGGCTGCTGTAGCAAAAATACCATAGGCTGGTTGGCTTATAAACAAGAGAAATTTATTGCTCTTAGTTCTGGAGGCTGGAAAGTCCAAGATCAAGATGGCAGCAGATTAGGTGTCTGGTGAGGACTTGTTTCCTTGTTCATAGATGGCACCTTCTAGCTGTGTCCTCACGTGGTGGGAGAGGTAAGGGATTTTTCAGGGGTCTCTTTTCTAAGGGCACTAATGCCATTCATGAGGGCTCCACCCTCATGACCTAACCACCCCCTAAAGGCCCCACCTCCTAATACCATCACATTAAGGGCAAGGAATTTTGGGGGGACACAAACATTAGACCACAGCAGATGGTATGGATGGGATTGAGGGAGAGAAAGTGTCAGAGCCAACATAGAAGTTTCCATTCTCTTTTTTGTCCCCCTACTTGGTGACTAAACAACATTTCTCCAGTCTGGTTGGGGTGGGAATCGGGTGGATGGGGTAGGTAGGAGTGAGGTCTTCCAGCCTGGCTTGACGTCCTTTTTCCAGGATAATGTTCATCTTAAAATAACCTACTTCAATGAACATTCGGCCAAAAGACAAAAGGAAGGTATTGCTAGGTAATGTGCAGCCACTCTGTCACAGTCTTTTTTTTTTAAATGAACACAAATTCCTTGACTGTCTTCTTGCTGAGAGGTGAGGTCTCTGTCCCCCTCCTCTCCCTACTTGAATCTGGATGAGCTTGTGACTCACTTATAACCAAGAATATGGAAGAAGTGATGCTGTGTGATCTCCTCATGCCTGGAGCCTGTGAGCCTCTCTCTGAGAAGTCCAGTGCCCCTGAGCCCACCATGCTGAAGAAGCCACCTGGAGAAGCCCCTGTTGACAGAGAGCCAGCATCACCTGCCAGTCACCAGAAGGGAGCCATCTCAGACATCCAGCCCAGCTGAGCCTTCAACTGACTGCTGCCCCAACCAACATGTGAACTGCAACCGCATGAGAGACCCTCAAGTGAGAACCGCCCAGCTGAGCCTTTCCCAAGTTCCTGGCCCACAAAACCCAGAACAAATTAAAATGAGTGTTTTAAGCCATTAAGGAGCAGGGTAATTTGTTACACAGCAACAGTAACCAGGACACATTCCCAAACCTAACTAGGAGGAAATTTCCTCTTGATAAAAATGCTGATTTTTTTATTCATCCTAGACCTTCATAAGTCAGAATCATCTGTGGATAAGGTATAAGAATCTGCATTTTTTTTAAGACAAGCTCTCCCACCCCAGGTGATTCAGATGCACAGCCAGGTTTGGAAATTTAAGACCTTGGAAGAGAGTCACATTGCCTCTCTCTGAGTCTCAGCTTCCTTGTCTGTGAATTGGGGAGGAGTGAGAGTTGGTGTGAGTATCAAAGAAGACGCTGCAGGTAAAGTCTTTAGGGCCAGCCAGGCGTAGTGGCTCATGCCTGTAATCCCAGCACTTTGGGAGGCCAAGGCGGGTGGATCATGAGGTCAGGAGTTCAGCCTGGCCAATATGATGAAACACTGTCTCTATTAAAAATACAAAAAAATTAGCCAGGCATGGTGCCAGGTGCCTGTAGTCCCAGCTACTCAGGAGGCTGAGACAGGAGAATCGCTTGAGCCCAGGAAGCGGAGGTTGCAGTGAGCCGAGATCACACCACTGCACTCCAGCCTGGGCGACAGAGCAAGACTCTGAGAAAAAAAAAAAAAAGTCTTTAATAAGGCCAAGGCATATGGAAAGGACTCAGGATTGGAACTGAATAATTAACCGTGGATATCAGTATCATTGATACCAATACTGTTGTTTTATTGTAACTACTTCACTATCATGGGTTGAATAGCGGCATCAAAAATATATGTCCAGTTCCTAACCCCTGATGCCTGTGAATGTGACCTTATTTGGAAATAGAGTCTTTGCAGATGTAGTTAAAGATCTCAAGATAAGCTCGTCCTAGATTTAGGGTGGGTCTTACATCCAATGACAAATGTCCTTATAAGATACAGAAAAGGAGAAGAAGACCACATGCATACCCACAAGAAGATGGAGGCAGAGACTGGAGTGAAGAAGCCACAAGCCAAGGAATGGCTGGAGCCACCAGGAGCTGAAAGAGGCAACGAAGGATCCTCCCCTGGAGACTTCAGAGGGAGCATGGCCCTGCTGACACCTTGATTTTGGATTTCTGGCCCCCAGAACCATGAGAGAATAAATTTCTGTTGTGTTAAGCCACATAGTTTGTAGCAATTTATTACAGCTGCCCTTGGAATCTAATGCACCACTGTTCAGCAGGCACCACACCCAGCACTGGAAACACCAAGGTGAGGAAGGGGCCCAGTGTTTCCCTAGACACAATGTCCTCAAAAGCAAGCTCTATCCTGTGACCATTCACAGAAGGGACATGGAGTCACAGTAATGAACATAGGTGTCTATGGCTTCCACCAAACCTAGAGAAGCCTTCCTCAAGTGGTCATTTCTTCCATCACTCTCCAATGAGAACCAGGAACTCGAATGCTCAATTCTAACTCAACGGTGGATCACAGGCTCTTTGCCTTCTGATGCTGACCTGAGTGTAGCCATAGAGCTTTGAGAAAGGAGACCAGAATGCTATGAATTCATCCACTCACCAAATGTTTCCAGAGGGCCCCTTCTGTAAAAGGAACCATGCCAGGCACAAGGTCCCTGCCCACACCAAGCCCAGAGCCTGGAGGAGGCTGCGGACCAGTGCACGGACAGACAGTGTGGGAAGGCAACTGTTGGAGGCAGGGTGGTGCAGTGGTTAGGATTCTGGGCTCTGGAGCCTGCCTGAGCTGGGATTCCAGCTTTGTCACTCCCTGACTGTGTGGCCTTGGGCAAGCCACTTAACCCTTTTATGTCTCTGTTCCCTCATCTCTAAATAGGGGACAACAATCACACCACCTTCAGAGGGTGGTGCTTGTGAGGACTAAATGAGAAAAACCAGGCAAGTACTGAGCACAGTTCCTGGCACAGAGTAAGTGATGAATAAAGGCATCAGGTGATGAAGAAGGCTGGGGGTGGGTAGGAGAGATTGTTCTGGCAGGGGGAATAGCAAGTGCAAAGGCCTGGAGGGAACACAAGGATGGCAGGTTTAGGCACCAGATGGCTCTGGCAAGCCAGAGCCCAGAGGACAGAAGGTCCTAACCTAGTCTGGGTCACAGCCCAAACTGGGGAAGCCAAAATCAGGAAAATGCACCTAGTACTCACCAAATACCATCCCTGATTTCAGGAAGGTCGTGGACCAGGATTTACTAACCACAGCTCTATTGACATTTTGGGCCAGATAATTATTTGGGGTGGGGACTCTCCTATCCATTGTAGGATGTTAGCACCATCGTTGACCTCCACCCACTAAAGGCCACTAGCACCTCCTGCCCCAGTTGTTATGACCAGACTGTCTCCAGACATTGCCAGATGTCTCCTGGGGACACAATTACCCTTGATTAAGAACCAAGGCCCTAAACCATCTCTCTCAGATCCTGAAGCCTGGGCCACCTGCCTCTTTCCATCTCTCCTGAAATGTGGCTACCAGATATGGGATGGATGCTCATCTTGACTGTGCTGGCCTGGAGAAGCCTGAGCAAAGGAAAGAGCACTGGAAAAGGAGTCATTTAGGAGCTTAAGGCACTCAGAGAACTTACTAAAATACCAAATCTCAGGTCCCTCCAGGGGACATTCTAGGGTTTTATGATTTGGGATTTTATGATTTATGGATTTGAGCAGTGCAGCAGCATGGAGATGCACTGCCTTCCCTTCAAGAAAAGCCTCCTTGCCCCGCTGCGGGGGTGTGTTCTGTAGATAACTTCCAGCTCATCCGTGTTTGCTTCCTTCAAGGTCATGCTTTTTCTGGGCTGCCCCTGGCCAGTGGCTGAGCGAGGCCCTGGGAGATTGAGGGCATGATCTCCTTAGGGCGGCACCTGGCCAGTGAGCATGGCAGTGGCACCAGGGCCATGGTCATTTCTGCCCAACTGAGGACTCCTCTAACCACCTTTGATCTGCAGCTCCCCACTGGGCTGGCAGAAATGTGTCATATCTGCACATCTGTGGTCTGACCCGACCCCATGCCCCATCCTGCTTCCTCCCTTTGTTTTTTCCAGGTGTTAGAGCCCAGCAAACCCTCTGCACTTCCAACTAGCATAGATGCTCAGGGTAGAGCCTAGAAATCTGAGTTTCAAAATTGTTCCCCAAGTAAGGCCATTGCTGAGTGAGGTCTGGGAGCCTCCAGGCTACACAGTCCCCCAGTTCTCTGCCAGCGCTGACATTCTAGGGTTTTGTGATTTGGGAGAAACTTGATTTGGCCTGGGGGTGTGTTTGCATGGGTGCAATAAACCATGCTGTCACGGGTTTTATGGTTTCCTTCTCTGGGCACTGCTAGCAGTGGGTTTGAAAGGCTTCCCACCTGAAGAGGGAGAAGAAACCTGGGCTTGTGTTGTTCTAATTCGAGTTCCCACCTAGAGGAAGGGGTATTTCTAGGTCCTGTAACTTTCTCATTAGAGTCAGGAGCCATCATTGTCCCCATTTTACAGATGAGGGGAAAAGTATAACCTAAAGAAAGGAATAAGGACTTCAGAGTCTGCAGATAGTTTGTGGTGGACTTTAAGATAATCACTTACTTTCCCTGAGCCTCAGTTTCCTCATCTGCAAAATGAGTCAGTCAGTCATTCATGAACTTTATTGAGTCCTTACTGTGTTGAGCACAGTTATCAGGAATGGGGATTCAGCTGTGAATAAGACAAGTAAGATGGGACACACGTCATGGAGTTTGCATTCTAGAAGGGAGATGGGCAATAGACAGATGAACAAATAGTTTCAGATAGGGTGAGTGCTGTGAAGACGGAGAAATGGGGTGATGAGGCAATGATGGGAACTGGGGTGAGGGTAGGCAGTAATTGGATGACAAGAGACAGCGACAATTAAAATGAGACCTCAAGGATGAGAAGAAATTAGCCACTGGAGGAGCTGGGGGAATGGTGTGCCAGGCAGTGGGAACAGCAAATGCAGAAACCTAAAGTGGGGAGGGAATGAGCTTGGTGTGGGAAAGGAACCTCCCAGAGGTGCAGGGGGTGAGGGGATGAGGGTGGAGAGGTTCCCCCTTCCATGAGGACTTCAGCTGTTACTGTCCCTGAGAGGGGCAGCTCCTGGAGTTTGCAGCTGAGGAAAGCCATGGTGAAGCTCACTTAGAAAATGACTAAGGCTTACTTAGGAGATAATTCACTTAGGCTCACTTAGGAGAGGACTAAGGCTCACTTAGGAGCCTCCATTTTTAGGATAAAGGACTTGCCAAGGACACAAAGCCTACCACCCCAGCTTCTTCTCCCAGTCATTCCCCTCTAGCACAGGAGAAGGCAAACCAGGCTGGGAAGTGCAGAGGCAGACCCCAATACGCAGGTGTTCCTCCAAGCAGGCCAAGCTGGGACAGAAGGGGCAACAAATCAGCCCCACAGAGCAAAGCACATGGAGCACTTTGACGACCTGGACTGCTTCTGCCCAGCTCTGGGCCATGTGACCCCGTGGTCACATGACCAGCTCTAACTACCCCTCCCCGTGGAGGGAGATCTGGGCTAATTGCCAGGGAGACTGGGGTTATAAATTGTGTGGGGTTGGACAGAGGGAAAGTAGAGGCTGGCATGTAGCTTTAAATGGTTTTCTCCAACTCCGAGGTTTCCCTTTTGTTCCTTAAGCATTTGTAACACACAAGCTTTGCTATCCCCAGGGAACTGCGCCTGAACTCACTGGTGAATTGGAATTTTTGTCTTTCATTATTTTATTTACTTATTTTCCAGTTTTATTGAGGTATAATTGAAAAGTTAAAATGGCATATATTCAAGATGTCCAATGTGATTATTCGACATATGAATACACTGCAAAATGATTACCACAATAAAATTAATTTTTTTAGTGGCCACTCTGGGCAAGGGAGGTACAGTTCCTGGTTTTGAGGCTGTTGTTTTGTTTTGTTTTTGTTCATGGGAAGCTGCACCCTCCATGCTTGGACACCTGCATTTCTTGGGAAGCTTTTGAACGCTATGACTTCTGGTCTCACCACTACCCCTCCATTTCAGGCTCTCATGGGTTCAGTCCTGGATGCTGTAACAAATTCTTCCCTCTCTTCCCAGGTGCTAGCCAGGATCACTCCCTCCGAAGTCACACCAGAGGGAGGGCTGGAGGGAGAATCAAATGAAAGAGAGAGGGAGAGAAAGGAAGGAAGAGAAGGAGGGAGAATGGAAGGATGTATGGATTTGGATGTATGGGTTCCATTCCTTCTACCCTGGCAAAAGCTTACTCATCCTTCAGTGTCCATCCAAAATGGCATCTCTTCTTGGGCACCATCTCCAGAGTCTCCTGCAAGCAGGTAGCTACATCCCACAAAACAACCACCCATCTGACCATGCAAGTGTGTGGGGGAATGAAGACCAGCCCAGGAATCTGAGATGAATGTTTTGCTTCTTGCTCTGCCACTGACTCACAGGGTACCCCAAGCAAGTCCCTTCACCTCCTCGGTCTCAGTTTCTCCATTTATACTACTAAGGCAGTGGACATGATGGCCTCAAGTCTCAACATTTTTATTCCCTGAAAAGAAACTCTTGGTGCTGAGTGGTCTTCTTCTGCCCTGACATCTCACCTTTCAAACGCTTGTCTCTTCTCACCCCACCCACCACTTAGCATGTGCTCTTGGAGAACACCCAGGACTCAGGGTCTCTGCACACATCATGAGTCCAGCTCAGCATTTGAGGTGGAATCAGAGGAAAGGAAGGAGAGTGGGGAGAATAGTCAGTATTTTGGCAAGCTCATCATACCTTCCCCCTTTGTATAGAAACTTCAAACCATTTCCCTTTGAAGGCACTACCTCCTTCCCCCAGTTATAAATGAGTGAAGGTCTCAAGCCTGGACAACCAAATGCACAGTGATTGGTTCAACTCTGGACCTGTGACTCAAGCCAGACCAAGGGAGTGACATGCAGGGCTTTGCCTGGAACTATTCTGAAAGGGGCACTCTCTTTCTGCTGGGCTACTGATAATATGTGCATCCGTGATAGAAGAGCCTGCCTGATAATAAAGCCAATAAGGGAAGAGCAGAGCCAAGAGATGGTGGGAGAGCAGATGCCTGAAAATATCATTTGAGCCCCTGGGTCCAGCTGCACCTGAAGCCACCACGATCTCCTGGACTTTGCAGTTACTTGAGTTCATAAATACCCTTTGGCATTAAGCCAGATTGAGTCTTAATGCATATAGAAATAAGAGAAATGAGAAAAGAAATTGAAAAGAGAGACAGCAGAGAACTGATTCTCTACTAGAGCCTCCAGAAGGAATCAACTCTGCCAACACCTTGATTTTGGACTTGTGGCCTTCAGAACAGTGAAATGATAAACATCTGTTATTTTAAGGTACCTAGTGTGTAACATTCCGTCATGACAGCCCTAGGAAATGAATACAGCGAGGAAAATCCTACCAGCACAAAGGCATGGAGGTGCCAGGATGTCTCCTCTGCGTGAAGAGTAGATGTAGATGAGGCTGGAATTATCTATCCTAGCTGCCCAGACCCATGTGCCTTTGTTTTATGTAGTTACAGCACCTATGATACATATTTGTTACCATGTATGTCACTATGAACCTCCTCTGGAGGACGGAGAAGTCAAATACCTTAATTATTCCAACACAAGCTTGCGTGAACAGATAATCATCACTACGAGTATATTGTGTGCCTGCTAAGCACCACACCTGAGATAAGCATTTGCTGTGGTTTGAATGTCCCCTCCAAAGCTCATGCTAAAATTTAATTGCCATTGCAACAGTGTTGCAAGGTGAGAACTTTAAGAGATGATCAGGTCATGAGAACTCTGCCCTCGTGAATGGATTAATACCCTTATCGCAGTAGTGGACCCCCCTTTTCTCTTGCTGTCTGTCTCTCATGTTAGCTTGTGCTTCCTCCTTTCACCATGGGATAACACAGCAAGAAGCCCCTCACCAGATGCTGGCACCTTGCTATTGGACTTCCGGCCTCCAGAACTGAGAAATACATGTCTTTTCCTTATAAATTACCCAGTCTGTGGTATTCTGTTATAGCGGCAGAAAATGGACTAAGACGGCATTTTGCATACATTATCTGTCTTATTAAAAATAATGTTTTTGCCCAGGAACATAGATTCAAGTTGCCCTGAATATACATTATCTCCCTACATTATCTCTTTTAATCCTCACCTATTAGGTAGATAAACTGCTATTATCCCCATTTTGCAGGTGAAACCTCAAGCTCCCAAAGAACTGCAGCATCGAGGAAAGTAAAACCAATAGCTAGCATGTTCAGTAGTCCCCTTTACCCATGGTACAATACAGTACGCTAAGATATTCTGAGAAAGTGAGAGGCCGCATTCACGTATCTTTTATCGCAGTATATTGTTACAATTGTTGTATTTTATTCGTTATTGTTGTTAGTCTCTTATTGTGCCTAATTTATAAATTAAGCTTTACCACAGGCATGTGTGTATAGGAAAAAACAGTACGGATGCTCCTCAACTCACAATAGGGTTATGTCCTGATAAACCCTTCGTTCAGTTGAAAAGATCTTTAAGTTGAAAATGCATTTAATACCTCTAACCTACCAAACATCAGAGCTTAGCCTAGCATACCTTAAACATCCTCAAAACACTTACACTAGCCTACAGTTGAAAAAAAATCGTCTAACACAAAACCTATTTTCTAACAAAGCACTGAATATCTCATCTCTTAATTTTAATTTTTTTTTTTCTGAGTAACAGGCTGCTCTGTTACTCAGGCTGGAGTGCAGTGGCATGATCATAGCTCACTGCAACCCTGAACTCCTGGGCTCAGGCCATCCTCCCACCTCAGCCTCCTGAGTAGCTAGGATACAAGTGCGTGCCACCACACCTGGCTAATCTTTTAATTTTTATTTTTGTAGAGACGAGGTACTGTTTCCCAGGGTGGTCTTGAACTCCTGGCCTCAAGTGATCCTCCCACCTTGGCCTCCCAAAGTGCTGGGATTACAGGCGTGAACCACTGTGCCCAGCTTCTTCTTATATATTGAATACTGTACTTAAAGTAAAAAATTGAATGGTTGTATGGGTACTGTAAGTATGTTTTCTGCTGAATGCATATCACTCTCACACCATTGTAAAGTCAGAAAATTATAAGTCTAACCATCATATGTTGGGGACCATCTGTGTATTACTATCCATGGTTTTAAGCATCCACTAAAAGTCTTGAAATGTATCCCCCTCAGGTCAGGGGACACTGCTGTAATAATAAAAACAGCTTGCACTTCCACAAGATTCAGACGTGCCAGATAGTGGTCTAAGAGCTTTGCATGCATGTTAATTCATTTCACTCTCACAGTAACCTGATGAGGGACTTACTATGATTCTTCCCATTTTACAGGTGAGGAAACAGAAATAAAAAGACACTAAGGGCTTGCTCAAGCTTGAGCTGGAATTTGCACCCCGGCAGCCTCACTCTAGCTGCCTGTTACTTACTGCAGGCCTGTCGGGTGCCAGGCACTGTGCTGAGCATTCTACATATTTCATCCTCCCAGCCTCTCAGTGACCAAGTGCAGAAACCTGTGACCATTTCATACTGAATATTTGAAGGATAAGCAAGTGATCGTGGCACACAAAGGGACACTTACTTTGGTGCTTCCTTCATCCTTATTTGGTTTTGGACACATTCCCTGCCTAACTCACCAGACTCCCCAAGGGCATGGAACATGTCTAATGGAGCCTCGGATCCCGCATGTATTGCACGGTTCCTGGCACGTAGTAGATGCACATGTTTTCGAACTGACCCATCATCTACATGCGCTCTTGCATGTGACATGTCCTGGGAGGCCTCCTCATCTCATGACTGCCACAGCCATGCTCACTGCCCAGGGCACCAGAAGGCAGAAGGCTGGTGAAGCGATTTGGCTGAATTCACTGCCTCCCTCTTGACGGAGGGGCTGAGGTGAGGAGGGAGAGGTGGCAGCAGGATCCACTCCACTCCAATGGTGCCCAGATAGACCTATACATCACCCAACACAAATAGAGCCACTCTGAGCAGTATTGAGCGGAGTGCAGGCAGACAGTGCAAGGGAAGCTGGCCTCTTCATCCATCAGCGCCGCTGCTGCTGCCCAGGGGTGAGGACCATGGTGGAGCCCCTTGCAGGTGCCCCCACAGAGCCCCCTGCCCCTAGTTGCCCCTCTGCAGATGGGTGGAGGATGACAGTTGCATAGGGATAGGATCTTATTGTATAAATCTCCTTTTGTGGCCCTGCCTGTCCTGGATCCAAGCAGGAGGGGTGGTGGGCAAATAGAAAGTGACAGCAGGACATTTATTGTTCTGATGGACCAATAGGGAAGCCGGGGTGGAGGCCAGCGGGGCAGCAGATAGGTCAGTGTGGTCGGTGGTACTTACAACCGATAGGATCTAGATGAGTCCAAGACAGATGACTGCAGAGACAGCCAGCGCCCACCACAGCCCCATCAGTAAGCCTGTGGGTAGGGAACAAGCTGGACAGCCCTCTGCAACCTGGCATGGACGGGTGGAAGGTGTGGATTTTCACGCCAGGTTGGGGAAGGTGGATAAAAGGGTGGCAGTGGGAACAGCTTGGGTGGCGATCTGGGGAGAGGACAAGAGACCCCTAGATACATACTGTCTCTTTCATGTTCTATCTTTCCATGTCTCTGCCTCTGTCTCCTCATCTATGTTTGGTTTTCCTTTTTCTCTCTTGTCCCTTTCCTTCTCTTCCCTTCATTCCTCCTTCTCTTCCCCTTTTCCCTTCCCCTTCTCTCTCTCCATCTCTTTCTGTCTCTCCTTCCCTCCCTCTCTCTCTTCCTCTGTTTTTTCTCTGGGTGTGGGTGTGACTTTCTTATTCTCCCCTCCTCCTCCCTCCTTCCCCCCCTCTCCTCTCTCTTTATAGGTATTCACTACAGCTAGCATTTATTGGGTGTGTGCTTTGTTCCGGACACTGTTCTGAGCTCTTCACACTTATGGGCATTCATTCCTCAATCCTCACACAGCCAGTGGGGCAGATATTGCTCCTGGCTCCTGGTATCTCTTTCTGAGGGCCTTGTTTGCATCTGGACCCAGGATGCTCGTGTGTGACTTTTCTGGAATCCAAGCACATTGTGGCTGTTAATAGTGATGATGATGATGATGATCATGATAATCATGAAGATAAAAAATTATCAGGCATTTTCTCTGTACTAAATCCTTTATGTATATCATCTCCAGGAATCCCCTGGGCACCTCCAAGAAGTAGGCATTATTATCCCTACTCTACAAATGAGGAAACTGAGGCCAAGAGAGGTTAAATGAGTTGATCAAGGTCACACAGTTGGTAAGACATGAAGCAGGGCTGGAAACAAGGTCTTCTGGAACTTCACCTCACTGATCTGCTACAGGAGGGAGTCTGGGAAGCCATGGGAAGCCCAGTCAGGGCTGGAACTCTGGTCTACAAATCATCCCTCCCTGGGAACCTGGCTCAGGGGCCAGCCCCATCACTGTCTCAGCAGAAACCATTGGTCATCTTAGCTATAGCCTTTCACCAAGGAAGAATGCCTAAAACCATATCCATACCCAGGAAAGTCTGAGAATTATAGCTGAGCTTTCCATCAAGATGGCTGGCCTTGACTCAGATTAGGTCAGAAATTAAAATAGCAAATTCAAGGTTATAACACTTTGATCATGGCTCACATACAGTTCTTCTTTAACAAAATCCCTAACATGGAGTAATCAATATTTCTGGGGCGTGTGCCAGGTCAACACCCTTCTTCACCTCACATTCCCTCATCCCCTAATGGAGAAAGCCCTTGGGAGCCATGTTGGTGTCATGTGACCCTGCCTCCCAGGCTGATTGGATCAAGGGTGATCACCTGATCCAAGATGGGCTAATCAGATCCTCTCTCACCTAAAGTTTGGAATTGGGAATCTAATCTTTTTTCTTTTTAATTTTTTAAAACTGTCACATAAAATAGTTTTATAATATTTAAATTATGTAAATAATACATGCTGATTGTAAAAAATATTCAAACTTTTACATAAAAATAGAAGGAAGGCAATAAAAATTACCTGAAAGCCCATCATCCTGTTAGCCATTTATATTTGGTGACCATTCTTTCATTCATTTCTTTGTGTATTAACTCACACACATGTATCTAATTTTATATAAATGGAATTTTAAATGAATGGGCTCATGTCACACGTGCTGGCTTAAACATGGTCATTTTTTTCTTATAATAGAGGGTTTTCTTTCTTTATTCCTCCCTCACACCCTCTCTCCTCACTTTGTCCTCTTCTTTTTGCATACCTTCCACTTCCTTACCCTCCCCCACCCCAGACCTAGCCCTAATAACCAGTTCATAACCTGATGTATTTTTTTTTTTGTGGTAAGCTGCATAATGGTCTCCAAAAGAGATCCATGTGGAACCTGTGAGTGTTTCCTTATATGGCAAAAAGGACTTGCAAATGTGATTAGATTAAGGGCCTTGAGATGGGGAGGTTATCTGGATTATCTGAGTGGTCCTAATGTAACCACAAGTAACCTTATAAAAGGGATGCAGGAGGAGTCCACGTTAGGGAAGAAGGCAACGTAAAGACAGAAGGAAAAAATGCAGTGATGCGGGTATGAGCCAATGCATGCCAAAGCAGCCTCTAGAACCTGGAAAGAGCAAGGAATGGATTCTTCCTTGGAGCCTCCAGAAGCAGTCAGTCCTATCAACATCTTGCTTTTAGCCCTGTAAGGCTGGTTTTAGATTTCTGACCTCCAGAGCTGTAAGAGAAAAAATTTGTGTTGTCTTTGGCCACTCAGTACATGGTAATTTTTCACAGCAACAATAGAAAACCATTACAAATTTTAGTACCAAGAGTGGAGTGCTACTGTAACAAGTACTTACACATGTGCAAGTGACTTTGGAATTGGGTGTTAGGTAGAATCTGTAAGAATTTTGAGGCACATGACAGAAAAGGCCTAGATTGCCTTAAACAGACTGCTGATACGAATGTGGTTGTTCAGCATTTTGGGCGGCTGAAGTGAATGGATCACTTGAGCCCAGGAGTTGGAAACCAGCCGGGGCAACATGGCAAAACCCCATCTCTACAAAAACTACAAAAATTAGCCAGGTGTGGTGGGACATACCTGTGGTCCCAGCTACTTGGGAGACTGAGGTGGGAGGATCGTTTAAGCCTGGGAGGCAGAGGTTGCAATGAGCCAAGATTGTGCCACTGCACTCTTGGGTGGGAAACAGAGCAAGACTGTTTCAAAAGAAAAGAAAAGAAGAGAAGAGAAAAAGAAAAGAAAGAAAAGAAAAGAAAAAGATGTTAAAGCTGTTGCCAGTGAGGGCTCAGAAGGAATAGTGGACCATGATGGAGAAAGTCCATATCATCTTAAGAGAGTATCTAAATCATCAAAAACTCTCTGATGATAGAAATACGAATACTAACGATTCTGCCAATGAAGGCTCAGAAGGAAATAAAAACACGTTTTTGGAAAGTAGAGGAAAGGGGATACTTGTTATATAGTGTAAGAAAGCCTAGCTGAATTCTGTCCTGCAATTATGTGGAAGCCAGGACTTGCAAATGATGAATTTCTATATTTTAGCTGAGAAGATGTCCAAGCAAAGTGTTGAAAGTGTAGCCTGGCTTCTTTTTGCTGCTTAAAGTAAAATGTGAGAGGAAAGAAAAAAATTCAGAGAAGAACTATTAAACAAAAAGGAACCAGGACTTGAAGATTTGAGATATTATCAGATTATTCGGATTGCAAATGATGCTAACATTAGTAGATTCACTGTCAGCAAAGCGTGCTCTGGAGAGAAAGCCAAGGGTATGACTGGAAAGCACCTTACTAGTGCCTCAGAAAGACCCAAAGGTCACAGTATTGAGTCACATACAGGGCTTTTGGAGGGATTAAACATGTGACTTGTTGATTCCCTCAGCCATCTCAGCAGAAGACAGGAATAGAGATGAGACGATCCAGGAAAGATCTGTAGAGGAGCCTCTTGTCTAATGAAGTGAATCTCTGTGACATGAATGGGAAATCCACAAGGTTTCTGAGACTGTTATACCAGCAGAAACACTGTCACCTTGGACTAAGAGGGACAGAGAGATGACAAACTGAAAAAGGCTATCTGTCTCTCAGAATTCTACAGGCAGGAAATAGGCTGATGGTAGTACTCAGCTGAAAACATGCTATCATTTTTTTAAATAAAAAAAGTAAAGAAAAGAAAAGAAATATAGCTAGGTGCAGTGGCTCATGCCTGTAATCCCAACACTTTGCTAGGCCAACTCAGGAGGATTGCCTGAGCCCAGGAGTTAGACCAGCCTGGGCAACATGGCAAGATCCCATCTCTACTAAAAAAAAAAAGGAAGATGGCTCAGAAAGCTAAGCCAAGTGCCCAAATGGCAGCAGCAACAGGAAACTAGTACACCTTCCAGACTTCCAAACGAATACACTTTCACTTGTCCATTTTCTGATCACCACATTAAATTATCTGTTGCTGACCGAGGATATGTAAACTCAGCAGGTGCAAGGTGACCACATTAAACTATATGTGTAGATCTAAGTAGTTGTAACTGGTATGGAGAAGCCTGGAGAGAGAGAGAGAGAGAGAGAGAGAGAGAGAGAGAGAGAGGTTGGGGGAGAGGGAAGACCAGGGAATACAGAAGAGATGCTCAGTGCATGGGGTCCTGACAACCTCCCCTTCTCTGCTACAGGGGACTCAAGAGCCAGCTCTCCTTCTTGTCCTTGGGACCAGCATACACACTGTCCTTCTCAGTAGCCAAGAAGTTTGCTTCCTTCTCGTCCAGAGTTCTCTTCTAGGGTTTTTGAGAAAAAAGGTTTTGCAACAGGTGTTCTGGATCTACTAAGTCTGGAACTATGTATCCAGGTGATGTCAGCTTCTAACTGTTCCTCCCAGGAAAGCCTACAGTTTTGGAGTTGCTATCATCCTCTACAGAGCTGGCCCAGTGGAGGGCTGATAAGGGCAGGGGGTACACTCCCCACTCTACCAACCCCTCTCCCTTTAGATTTCTACCAAGCCAGTCACATCAGTCTGGCCAGTGAGTCAGAGTTCATCAAAGGACTATGTGACCTTGGGAAAAATAGTTAACCTCTCTGGGCCTCAAATTCTTCATTTCTGAAATGGGCATTATAATAGTGCCTATCTTACAGCATTGCTGTGAGGGTTAGTTAACAAACTAACAGCATGTTGTGAAAATGCTTAACACAGTACCTGGCACAGGGTAAGGGCCCAATAAAAGCAATAATAATAATATTAAATATTAGACTAAGGAGTTGGTTACTATTTCACTCATTGCTGCTGCCTTCATTCACAGCTGCTAGTCCATCACAATAGTTCTCTTTTTTTTTTCTTTTTTAGGCAAGGTCTGTCTCTGTGGCCCAGGCTAGTGTGCAGTGGCATGCTTTCAGCTAACTGCAACCTCCGCCTCCTGGGCTTAAGCCAACCTCCCACCTCAGCCTCCCAAGTAGCTGGGACTACAGGCAGACACCACCATGCCTGGCTAATTTTTTGTTGTTGTATTTTTTGTAGAGACGGGGTTTCACTATGTTGCCCAGGATGGTATTAAACTCATGAGCTCAAGTGATCTGCCTGCCACAGCCTCCCAAAGTGCTGGGATTACAGGCATGAGCTACCACGCCTAGCCCATCAAAATAGTTCTTATTAAGCATTGGCAAGGGGCTGAAAATCATCTGTAGCATGTTTAACCCCAAGACTGCTTTTAAAATTGAATGTAGGAGATTCCCAGCCTCTCCCAGGGTCATAGCAATAAGGCCAGGTGATCACTGCCCTGTGGAACTAGCTCTTTTCACCAGCTTGGATTTGCCACTTTCAAATCAGTGGATCTCATCTGTTAGCAACTGATTAAAATCACCTGGGAGTTTCAAAACAGTGCTAATACCTGTTGACCCTGAATATCTGGGCTTGTGGCCAGGACACTGATATTTTTAAAAGCTTCCCAGTTAGGGTTGCTAAATTTTTTAGTATAAGTATATCCCAAATTTTGGGCTATACTTATATGCCCCTAGTTATTCCTTGTCTATCTGAATTTCTAATTTAACTGACCATCCTGTGTTTTTATTTGCCAACTCTGGCAACCATATTCCCAGAATTTTCGGAGGACCCCGTGAAGAAAGGGTAACACTGGGGTCAATGACATCCTTTGCAATTCAAAAAATCCAAAGAGCTAACTCTCACAGTAAACTGAGGGCTGGGCTTCAGCGTCCATACTGTGGTTGGGGGGTAATTTTCCCACCACTTGTATGGACATACTAAGGCATACCACTCTCAGAGACTCTCAAGAGAAGTGAGAGTCTGACACTCAAGCCTGTCTGCAGATATCCTGCCTCTGCTACACCGACCCGTGTCTCTTCGCTGTGGCCCTTTTACACATCACATCCATCCCCACAATATAATGTACTTCTGTGTGCTGTAAGCAAAACCCCTCTTATTACACTTTGTAAGAGTCTAATTTATTTGCTTTAGGTCTAAAGTCCACCAGGTCAGGGAGCAGGCCTGTCTCGTCTTCTAGTCTTCTACTGTATCTCAATACAATGCCTGGGACAGGAGAAACACCCAATACGTATGGGCAGAATAAATAAATGACACAGTTCTGGGGTGGCAGCAGATCAATTTCCTGGTCTGTGTCTCTTCAATGGACAAGTCGATACATCTCTGCTGCTCCACGTGTAGTCCATGGACCAGGCCCCTTCTCATCACCTGGGAGCTCATGAGCAACGCAGCATCTCAGTATCCCACCCCAGACATCTGCATGGACTGAATCCAGTTCACCACTTGCTTGAGGGTAATTGCACATAAGTCTCCAAGTCTCAGTTTCCTCAGCTGAAAAATAAAAGGTAATAAAGCCCTTTACTGCCTCTTCCTAGCGCTGTTGCCCATATCAGGTGAGAGAATGGACTGGAAGGTGCAAACTTGAATACGCTGTTTACAAGATGGCATCATTCCTGTTATGAGTGGTTGGAGGGTTATAAATCGTACCCTGCTTCCTCAACTTCCTTTCTAGCTAACCCTCTTCCTCTCTTTCTTTCTCTGCTCCCAAGTTCCCAGTCCCTAAATAAAACCCAAATTCCCCTTCCTGCTTCTCCTGCCGGCCCCTCCCCTTGGAGACTCTCATAGCAGGCAGAATTGTCCAGGTGCTTCTCAGTTTTTGTGGCTTGAAACAAGCTTTTGCACGTGTCCGTCTGAAGGAGGTCAGGGTGGGGGGTGGCCGGGGGGTGAGTGGGACCAATTCAAACAGGCTCAAGTCCCCTGCGTTCGGTTTTGTCTTGTTGCAAATGTGTCGTTTGATGCAGGCCTGATCAAACACGTCCCTGAGCTGGAGGATGTGGGGATGGAGAGAGGAATTAACATTTTTCTCTCTGCTGCGCCTGCCGGCGTCCCGCCCCCTCCTGCATTCGGCCTCATGGGGATAGCATCCAATTATAGATGGACCTCAAAGTCCAGCGTCTGCCTTCACATCCCGCACCAGCTCCTGAGGTTTTCAAAGGAGTGAGCTAACATCTATTAATGTTTTCGACGTACCGAGCTGTGTGCTGGGTGCTTTACAAACATTTTTATGGGGTTACTGGGGGAATAAAATGAAACACAGGGTTAATGCATTTCCTGAAATCGAAAATTCCATCAACTGTAGCTTTGCCCCTAGATTTAATAACAACCACATTAAATGTATAAGTCCGCTGCTTTCTGGCTACTGAAGGGTGGTCCGTCAACCAGCAGCATCCACGTCACCTGAGAACTTGGGAGAAGTGCAGAATCTTGGCCTCCACCTCAGACCTCCTGAATCAGAATCTGCATTTTTAACAACATCCCCAGGGGATTTTTGTGCGCACTGAAGTCTGAGAGGCACTGGATTAAAAAACCTATTTTGATTTTGGCATCATTGAAATATGGGGGAAATGCATGTTTTCGAATCAAGAACATAGGGAGGTTTTCATTTCAAATGAGGAAATTGAGGCTCAGAGAGGCAAAGTTACTTGTCCAAGGTCACACAGCTTGGAAATGATAGAGCCAGATCTCCAAGGGCCATGCTGTCAGAAGCTTCAAAAGGAGGGATTAGGAGTGGCAGCAGCAGAGGAAGGGACGAGGGAATTTATCCCTCTGATCTTCCCACCACACTACACTTCACTCCACCCCTCAAATGGAGGACATCATTGTCATCAGTGATAATCAATACATGGTTTTTGATGTCAGCTGAAGATAGTTACCAAGGACCAGCTGTGTATTCTCAATCACCTTGAGAGACTGGCCTTGCCAACCGGCATGAGCCTGGCTGTGAATATTTCCAGGTTTTATAAAATGCTTTGCAGAGCTTTCATGTTGATGATGTTGGTGCGCCATATTGTAATTAGCAAATATTGGGCGATCATCTGCATGGAAGAGCTTCCTGCTTGCCAGGCAGATCTCATATATGTGTCACTCCCTCAGAGAGGCCTTTTCTGACCATGTGGTCTCAGTGTGGTCTTTGTCTTTGTCTAGCACATCACCATGTCTTAACTCTTGGTGTGGCACTTGGCATTGACTGACATGATGTTGCTTATTTGACTTGTCTTTTGTCTGTCTTCCCTAGCTGGAATGTCAGCCCCAGAAGGGCAGGGATTCAGACCGGGTGTGGTGGCTCACGCCTGTAATCCCAGCACTTCGGGAGGCCAAGGCAGGTGGATCACCTGAGGTCAGGAGTTTGAGACCAGCCTGGCCAACATAGTGAAACCCCGTTTCTACTAAAAATACAAAAGAATTAGCCAGGCATGATGGCAGGCACCTGTAATCCCAGCTACTCGGGAGGCTGAGGCAGGAGAATCGCTTGAACCTGGGAGGCAGAGGTTGCAGTGAGCTGAGATCGTGCCACTGCACTCCAGCATGGGTGACAGCAAGACTCCATCTCAAGGAAAAAAAAAAGAAAGCAAAAAAAAAATTGATAGATAAGGATGAATGGATGGATGAAAACTGGATGGATGGATGGATGGATGGGAAACTGGTGGATGAATAAGAATGGATGGATGGATAGATGGATGGATGGATGGAAAATTGATGGATGAATAAGGATGGATGGATGAATGAATGGATGGGTGGATGAATAGATGCACGGATGGATGGAATTTAGATAGTCTCAGGGTTTGGGAAGGGTTTGCTTTCCCATTCTAGACTTTGAATCTCCAAAGGAAAGTTGCCAATGAAAATCACTTTAAAATATCATTCCCATCAAAACTGAAAGAAGACAAGTCTCCTGAAAGAGGAAAAACAAATTAAAGTAGCATTTACCTGGCAACAATGGCTTATCTCTGATCTTCAAGCAAATAAGGTATTTTGAAAATCAAAACAAATGAAAGTCATCTCCTTTTCTGCTCTGTGTTTCTCTCCTGTGGGAGGTTGAGGTTCCCGTATAATTCAATGAGGCTGAAACTGAACCTTTTCCTTCCAGACTTTTGCTAGCTTGGGGATAGTTCCAGACTGACAGTCACCAGGTTCCCACTCCCTCTGAACCAGCACTGTCATTCGCCCATAGGGCATCTTTGTACATATTAGAGAAAGGCTTCCCATCTTCCAGGTGGGCACAACCCTGGGCCTGGGGCAATGGCTTGGTAGACAGACCGCTCCCCCTCACTAGACATCTCCTTGGCCTAGTACCTTTGTTGCAGGGACCAACCTGCCTGTCTGTACGTGGCAGCCTCTTCTGACCCCCAGGACTAGTTTGTTTCAGTCTCAGAGGCTTTGGGCCACTGGTGGCCTTGCCACATCTTATGGGTCCCAACCTAACCTTTATAGATCTATTTTCGGTCATTTCTTGAACAGAAACTCACTCACCAGGTTAGAGAGAGTCTGGTTTTTTTTGTTTTGTTTTGTTTTGTTTTGTTTTGAAACGGAGTCTTGATCTCTCACCCAGGCTGGAGTGCAGTGGCACGATCTCGGCTCACTGCAACCTCCGCCTCCCTGGTTCAAGCAATTCTCCTGCTGCCTCAGTCTCCTGAGTAGCTGGGATTACAGGTTTGTGCCACCACACCCAGCTAATTTTTGTATTTTTAGTAGAGATGGGGTTTCACCATGCTGGCCAGGTTGGTCTCGAACTCCTGACCTCAAGTTATGCGCCTGCCCCGGCCTCCCAAAGTGCTGGGATGGATTATAAGCATGAGTCACCACGCCTGGCCTAAAAAAAATCTGTTCTTAGTTTTCTACGCAGCCAACAGAGGAATCCAGCAAAGGGCCCTCTCAGCCCATCCTCTTCTCTCTCTTTCTGTCTCTGTCTCCATCTGTTTTTCTCTGTTTCTGTCTCTGCAATTAATTCTGTCTCTCTCTCTGCGGCATCCGTGGGCCCGGTGCCTCCTGTCCTGGCCCAAATCTGCCTCTCCTTCTGAATTGCTGTTTCTCAGAGTCTTTCCAGGAAGGACCCCTTGTCCTAGAATCATCTGCAATTAATCTGTCTGTGCAATTAATTGTAGTATTCAGCAATAACAACATCCCAAAACTCTCAGCGATGAGGGCTCCACCAGGGGGCACTCTGAATGATGCAATGCAGCCCCCTTCCCTCCGCTCTGGGGACAGGTGTGGATAGATGGACCGACCACTGACTCTGCCCGCCTGAGGATGGTCCTGAGGACTGTGGTCAGGATCCAGGCTTCGAAGACAGGGTAGAGAATGCAGCCCAGCTGTGGGAAGCACATACATAGGACTTAGACCTGGATTCAGGTCTGCCACACTGGTTCAGTGGATGTGAGTTCAGGCAAGCAACTTGACCTCCCAGACCCTCTGTTTCTTCTTCTGTGAAACAGGAATAAAGCTGCCCATATTGCAGGGGTATGAGGATTAGATATAAAGGGCTGGGGTTGGTCTTCTAATGGGAGCCTTTTGAAAAGTGGAGGGCAGGGTTGGCGGGAAGGATGTGCAGGCAGCTGACCTCAACTAGTGACGAGGACTTGTTGCTACAAGTGCCGGGAGCCAGAGGATGCTAGGAGGGGGGAAGGTATGGCAAGATGCCCTGTGCTGGGCATTTTCCCCATCAATGGGTGGCAGCACTGGTCATCTGAGGTTAGAAACACCTTCAGGCCACGTCTTGTCCTCCGTGACCTCCCGATCAGAAAAAGCTCAGAATTCAGATTCAGAGCCCGTGGTTTCCAGTCTCAACTCACTTGCTGGGGCCCTTGGGCTGGCTACTTCAGACTCAGTCTCCCCAACTGCAAAATGGTGATGAGAAGTCCCCCTCAAGGAGTGGCTGTGAGGATGAAAGGCAAGGAGGGCAGAAGCACTCTGGAAACCTTTACTCACTGGGAAGTGCTTCACGATGTGGGTGAGCACTTTATACACTGTAGAGTGCTTTATCCATTGAAAAGGACATTACAAAATTCAAACTTTTTGACTCTGGTCCCTGTCTGGCCCAAGTCACCTGACAAACCTCCCCTTGGGGAGATGTGAGTGCTCAGCTGGTCTAGCTCTGTGGATAGGATCCACAGCCTTGAGATCTTGGCAGAGGGAGACCAGACGGCTGGCAAGGCAGGACCCCAGCACTGGGAAACCACTGGCTGGAGAGTTCCTGCCTCCCACCCTGGGGTGGGGCTCCGCTGCATCCTTGGGTCCTGTGCATCCTCCTGTCCTGGCCCAAATCTACCTCTTCTGAATTGGTGTTTCTCAGAGTCTTTCCAGGGAGGACCCGTTGTCCCAGAATCACCTGCAGTGTTTGGTAGAGCTCGGGGGGTTTACTCTGCAGATTTCTGGTCTTCTCCTGAACCATACCCACTGAATTGCCATCTCTGGGGATGGGGCCCTGGAACCTGCATTTTTTTTGAGACAGACTATCGTTCTGTCTCCCAGGCTGGAGTGCACTGGTGTGACCTTGGCTCACTACAACCTCCGCTTCTAGGGTTCAAGTGCTTCTAGTGTTTAAGCCTCCTGAGTAGCTGGGATTACAGGCACATGCCACCATGCCCAGCTAATTTTTGTATATCTTGTAGAGATGAGGTTTCACCATGTTGCCCAGGCTGGTCTCAAACTCCTGAGCTCAAGCAATCCTTCTGCCTCAGCATCCCAAAGTGCTGGGATCACAGGCATGAGCCACGGTGCCCAGCCTGGATCTGAATTTTAATAAGCTCCCTGAAGGGCCCTGGTGCTCGATGATGTCTCAGAATCATTAGGTGAGCCCCTGTCCAAGGTGTTGCCTGTCCCAGTGCCTGGCACATAGCAGACATCCAACATAGGCTGGTTGAATGAACACCTGAACAAGCAAAACCTCTACAGGCCTCGGTTTCCTCATCTGTGAAATGGGAGGGATAATCATCTCTGCCTTGCCCACTATTTTTTGAGGTGATTTAACTCACCTCATACTTTTGAGGTGATACACCTGATACTTTTGAGGTTGAAGTGTGGCCAGAGTAGGAACTCTCCATGGAAAATGACATGAGAGATGGAAGGTATACAGGGCAGAGAGAGAAGAGAGAGACAGACAGACAAAGAGATAGAGGCAGAGACAGAGGGAGACAGAGACACACACACATACACACACACACACACACAGAGAGAGAGAGAGAGAGAGAGAGAGAGAGAGAGAGAGAAAGCCTTCGTGTTAATAAGCACCAAGGAAAGCAAGCTGTGGCTGGAGAAACCTAGTGATGCTCTCTGCACCTGAATCCCTGGAAGGATGACGATGACTTCCTGCCTACGACCCATCTGCCTTAGTTTGGGGTCCCCCAAAAGCAGATCTTGAGACAAGGACTTGGGTGCAGGTTGTTTATTTGGGAGGGAAGAAAGTGGGAAAGTGAGGCAGAGAAGGGGAAAACAGTGCAGTTTTTGTTAAGGCGCAGGTTACTTACAGGGTGTCAGTCCATGGGGACCCTCAGACGAGCCATGCAGATCCCGCCTCAGAACTTTCCCACTGAGGGACATGGAAGTTGTGGCATTTCTCCACCTACTCCCATTGCTTTTGGAGACATTAGATCCCCAGCATTTCCTGGCTGCCCTGTGCACCTTGGTGAAAACCTTTGGCCAGAAAAGCAGGAGGCTGCAGGCACATGGAGGGGCATGAGGGCAACTGGCAGCTCACAGAATGTCCTCGCCAGCTGCAGGTGAGCTCTGAGCTCAGCAAGGGGATGTGGGGCATCCCCAGCCTCTGTTGCTCTCTCATGGTGTGCACCTGGCCAGCCCTGCCAAGCCAAGCTAGATCCATCCTTCAAAACCAACCCCCAGCCTTCCCAGCCTCGAAGGCTTCTTCTCCATCCACCCTCACCTTCACCATCTTCCCTTTAAAAAGTGGCAATAATTTGAATCCTTTTGATGGCTTTAGGTTACATATGCTGACAAAAACTGGAAGGAGGGAGAGAGGGAGGGAAGGAAGGGAGGGAGGGATGGAGAGAAGGAAGGAAGGAAGGGAGGGAGGAAGGGAGGAATGAAGGAAGGGAGGGAGGGAGGGAGGGAGGGAGAAAGGCATTCAGTACCTCCCATGTGCACGGCACTTTCATATCTGTTATCTCATTAAAACCACTATCATGAGTCTATCCAGTAGGTAACATCATCCATGTTTTCTAAAGACAAGAAAACTGAGGCCCAGAGAGGTGAGGTCACTTGCCTGAGGTCACACAGCTAAATAGATAGCCCAATCTTGGGCTTTAAAACATGTGTTCTTTCTGCCTTCTCCCATTGCCTCCTCTGGATGTTTACTTATTTGCAGTGAACACTGTCAGTCCTCAACTAGATCCTGCTGCTCAGGGCACGGCCTGCAACCTCGCAGCCCAGCAGCATCAGCAGCTCCTAGAGCTTGTTAGGAATGCAGAGTCCCGGGTCCCAGAGCTGTTGAATCAGAATCTACATTTTAATGAGGTCTCCAGGGCATGTGTGTGCATGTTAAAGGTTGAGAAGCGCTGTCCTAGACAGTCTTTGAGGAAGAGGACAGCATCTTCCTTTTATTTCTAATATTCCAGGACAGCATTTTCTTGGTCCAATGCAAATGTTAAAAAAAAAAAAAGCAATTAATAAATGGCTGTGGGTCAAAGACTGATTCCACATGGCTGATGGGGAGGCTCTCTGGTTAGACATGAACCTCATAAGCCTGTGCGCCTGGACGTGGCAGGCCAGGACCGTACATGTGGACCTGGTCACATTATTGGATGTCTATTGAGCACTAACACTGTGTGATGCATGGCACGGGGCATAGATTTGTGTGTCTGCTGGGCAGTGACCTGAATTCAGTGCTGGGTGGAGTGCCGGGTGCATTGGAGGAGATCGATAAGCAATTATAATTATTATTACAATTAATAATAAATGCTACATGGTCCGGACAAAAGAAGCTGCAATGTGAGATGTGTGCCTGCCTCGGAGCCCTTCACACTGAGCCCTGTGCAGTTACGGAGCTCCTCTCTTCATGGAGGAGAGCGGGGAGGGCAGGTGGGGTTCTGGCAGCCCCTGCTTCTGTAGCATGTGGATTCACAGCCTCCCTGGGAGAGTGGGAGAGGCCAGAGGACCCACAGGGAAAGCAAGTCCTTCTGGAGTTGGATGGAGGTCAGGGTGTTGGTGGTTTACGAGGAGACTCCAGAAGATTCCCTTGGATGGGCCAGCTCAGAGGACCCCACTGCCCCCCTGGCCTGGGGAAGCCTCATTGCTCAGTCCCCGATGCAGAGGCCTCTGCACACCCTCTTGGAGAGTACTGCTGCCCTTGAATGCATGCATTGCATGGTGGCTGCATCGCCTAATGGTGAGGCACACAAGCTTAGCAGCCAGGCCACAGAGATTCCAATCTTGGCTTCATCACCTATGAACCATGTGTCTTCAGACAAGTTGCTTAGCCCCTCTGGGCCTCAGTTCAGTCATTCCCAAAATAGTTGTAATGACAGTGCCCATCCCACAGGGCTTCTGTGACAATTGAGACAATGGGCATAAAGTGCCTTGCACATAGTGACCATTCCAATGTTCACTGTCATTGTTTACTTTCCTGTGTCTTGTCCCTCACTGAAACCCTGAGAAGGGTTTGGTACATGTGGGTTTATCAGTTGCTCTGTGAATAATCATGACCAGCATTTACTCACTGCTGACTCTGCCAAGTACTATTTGAAGCATAACTCAATTCATCTTTGCACCAATTCCTGGAGGAAAAAGTGATTACTATTTCCATTTTACAGATGCAGGAACCAGGGCAGACAGAGGAATTAATTTGCCCAGTGTCATACAGTTAGTAAAAGATGGCACCAGAATTTGAACCGAGACAGTCAGAGTCCAGAGCCCATGTTCCTCACCTTGTAATAGACTGCTTTTGAATGAATGAGGGAAGGAGAGAGGGACAGAAGGAGGGAGGGAGGTATGGGAGAAGAAAGAAAGGGAGGAAGGAAGGGAAAAAGGAGGGAGGGAGAAAGGGAGAAGAGAGAGGGAGGAAGGATGGGAGGGAGGGAGGGAGGGAGGAAAGAGAGAGAGGAAAGAGGAAGGAAGGAAGGAAGAGAGGGGGGAGGGAGGGAGGGGAGGAAGGGAGGAGACAGTGGAAGGAAAGAAGGAAGCAGGGGGAGGGAAGGAAGAAGGAAGGAGAGAGGGAGATATAAAAGAGATCATTAGGTGAACAGAGAGTTCATAAGTGAATTAATGCGTAGATGAAAGAGTAACAACTGACCTCTGAGAGTCATTAAGAAGATTAAAATGAGTAAAGGCTCTAGGTCTGGTACATAGTAAGTGCTCAGTGAACATTAGCAGTGATGAGGATGGTCAAGACAGTGATAACAATGAAGATAGAACAGCTGAGTGGAGAAATACAAAAATGATAGCAGATGGTACCAGTGGCTTGACATTTGGAGGGTTTGACCAGCCAGATCTCTGGAGAAGCCAGGATGTGAGACACACAGAGGCTTGGATTCCTCTCTCCATTCCATATAGATAGGGCACTCAGAGGCACCAAGAGTGGAGAGAGACTCTCCCAAGGCCACACGGCTGATATTGGAGACAGGATTCGATTCCAGAAGAACTTTCTGGGCACAACCACTGTCCTTCAAGGCTCCTGGACTGGCATCTCACTGTATTGGGATGAGCAGATTTTCTAAAGGACTGAGACAGAAGTGTGGAGAAAAAAATACATGTTTTCCCATTCAGCAAGCATTTATTGAGCACCTACAGTGTGCCTGGTCTTGTGCAACAGGTTTTCTGACATGTTGAGTGATTTCTCTGCACCTGTCCTCTGCCTTCTGTAGGGCAAAACCTTGGAGATTAGGAATGGACAGAACCCTGAGCAGCTGACTTCAGAGGAAAAGGGGTTTCTGGCTGTATCAGTCAGGTTATGCTGCAATGAAAAGCAGCCCCCAAATCTCAGCCCCCGAAAACAACTCATCAAAGGCTGACATCTCACCCTGTGGGTTGGTGAGGGCTACACCCCACATCGTCCTCCCCACCAGGTGCCAGGATGATGGGAGCGCTCACTGGTGGAACACAGCTGGTAGATGATGGGATGGGGGATGGGGAGGTGGAAGCACACGTTGCCATGTTTGGACTTCAGCCTACAGGGCCACGCTTCACTGCTTCTCCCATTTCACTGGCCAAAGCAAGTCACACGGCCATGCCTCATGTGGAGGGGGTGGGGAGGGCAATACCACCATGTGGTCACCACACACAGTCCCCATGCAGATTCACAGGGAGGAGAAGAGGCTGCTTGTGGCTTGTGTACATGAGTGAAACCTTGAGAGATGGCAGGCTGGGGTGAGGAGTCATGGGTATGGGTAATAGGGTTAGGGATCAGCCTACAGCTAGGATCAGGGTTCAGTCTATGACTAGAATAGGGCTTTAGTCTGGGATTAGGGTCAGGGCTCAGTCTGTACCAGGGTTAGGGCTCAGTCTGGAGCAAGGATCAGGCTTCAGTGTGTGACTCGGGTCAGGACTCAATCTTTGACCGGAGTTGGGGCTTAGTCTGGGATTAGGGTCAAGAGTCATGCTGGGACTAAGATTAGGGCTCACATTGTAACTGGGATACTCTGTGATTGTGCTCAAGACTCAGGCTAAAACAATGGTCAGGGATCAGTCTATGACTTGGGATCAGGGCTCAGTCTGTGACTGGGATCAGGGTTCACTCTGTGACTGGGATCAGGGCTCAGTCTGTGCTTGGGATTAGGACTCAGTCTGTAACTGAGATCAGGGCTTAGTCTGGAGCAAGAGTCAGGGCTTACTCTGGGTCCAGAATGAGGGTCCAGCTCTCCACCAGCATGAGGATCCCCTATGACCCATCAGTACCTCCATACTAGACTGTTGTAAGGTTGGAGCCTCACACCCAGCACCACTGACCTGCAGCATCAACCTCAGCCCCACACCTCAGAGCCCAGGAGCCCTGCCTCACTGACATGACATGCGTGTCCCAAAGTGGAGCCTTCCCCGATCCCTTGCCCAGCAGTGTCAGGTCAGCCCAGTGTGGCCCAGTGCCGCCGTGGGCACCGTGGGCCCCTCGTCCCCGCCTGCCCTCCACGCGCCTCCCTCCTGTCTCCTCCCTCTGCCACCAGCTGCCGGCTCCGTCTGCTCAGTCTCTCTCCCTCTCCCCGCTCTGCCTTAGAGACAGCTATAAGTCTCCCGTGAAATATATACAGTGTAAATATATAAAAAGCTTGTGCCTGCCTGCTGCTTATGTATTCATGAAATAGTAAATAAATTTTATGGGATAATTTGAAGGCTGCCAGGAAGCCGGGAGATGAAAACGAAGGCCTAATGAGATGGAGTATCGGGGCGGCACACGCGCAATCGATCGGCGGCTGCCTGGCCCGAGCTGGGACGAGCCCATCTCCCGTGGCCCGGGGCCTCGCTGATGAGACACTTCGGAGGGGCTTCCGGGGGCCATAAACCACGGGTGGCTGCGGTGGGGGCGGGGGAGGCCTGAGCTCTGGAAGCGGTGATGGTGCTGACAGCCACCTGCTGGGAGGCAGGGGGCGGAGTTCTTTCTCTAGCTCTGCCAAGGACCTGCTGTGTGACCTTGAGCCAGTCATGCTCCCTCTGTGTGCCTCGGTTTCTCCACATGCGTGATGAGGGGCTTGAGCTAGAAGGTCCCTGGGCTGGGGCCTGTGGCTGTGACAGTCTTCTGGTAGCCCCCTGGCCCTCCCCTTCCTGACACTTATTGCAGTGTGTAACGATATGTTGATTTCATGCTTATTGGATGAGTATCTGTCTCTCCACTAAACCTCAGCTCTATTTGGGCAGGGTCTAGGTCTCTTTTGCATACTGTTTTTTGTACCCCTCCTGTCTGCCACATAGGAGGGTCCCAATAGATATTTATGGGTTGGACCAAGTGCCATGGCTCACACCTGTCATCCCAGCACTTTGGGAGGCTTAGGAGGGTGGATAGTTTCAGGCCTGCCTGGGCAACATGGCAAAACCCCATCTCTACTAAAAATAAAAAAAAAATAGCCAGGTGTGGTGGTGCATGCCTGTAGTCCCAACTACTCGGGAGGCTGAGCGGGGAGGGTGGGGAGGCAGAGGTTGCAGTGAGCCGAGATTGTGCCACTGCACTCCAGCCTGGGTGAGAGAGTGAGACCCTGTCTCAAAAAAAAAAAAAAAAAAATTATGGGTTGGATGGATAATGGAATGAATGAATGAGTGAGGGAGTGAAAAATTCAGAACAGATCCAATTCCATCCACTCCACCATGCCACCGTGTGGTGCAAGCCACCATCATCTCCCGCTCGGACTACTGCAGTAGCTCCTCTCTGGTCTCTGTCACCACCCTGGCCCCCTACAGTCCACCTCCCCACAACCCCCAGAGGAATCCTGTTAGACAAATAAATCAGTGCCTCCTGTGCTCAATATCCTCCCATGGCTCCCATCTCCCTCAGAGAAACAGCCGAAGTCTTCTCCATGTCAGACAAGGCCTACATGATCTGCTGCCAGCCCCTCTGGCCACCCCAACCCCTGCTGCGCACTCCTCCCTCCCTCTACCCCAGCCCCTGGCTGCCCACCGCAGGGCCTTTGCACTGGCTGTTTGCTTCTGCCTGCATTTCTTTCCCTGTTATATCCCCATAGCAAACTTCCTCACCCTTTTCAAGTCGTTGCTAAAAACATGTTCTCTCTATGAGGCTACCCTGGCCACCTTACCTAAAAATGCACCCAACCTTCCCCTGGTACTCCCTGACCCCTGTCCTGCTGTAACCACCCCCTGCCCACTACCTTCTGAAATAGTATAGTATCTACTTATTGTTTGTTTGCTCTCAGCCTTTCACCCATGAGAAGGTGAGCTTCTTAAGGGCAGAGTGTTTGTCGGGTTTGTTCATCACAGGGTCCCCAGCACCTAGAACATTGGCTGGCCCACAGTAGATGCTCGGGCAATAGTGATTGGAGGAATAAATGAATGAATGAATATCTAAAGGACCCTCCAAGGCTGATCTCATTTTTTTTTTCTTAGAGACAGGGTCTCACTCTGTCACCCGGGCTGGAGTGCAATGGTGCAATCATAGCTCACTGCAGACTCCACCTCCTGGGCTCAAGTGATCCTCATGCCTCAGCCTCTAAAAGCACTGAGATTATAGGCATGAGCCACTGTGCCTGGCCTTAACTTAATTTAAAAACAAACAAACAAACAAACTGGCCATGGGCAGTGGCTTATGCCTGTAATCCCAAGCTTTGGGAGCCCAAGGTAGGAGGATCATTTGAGGCCAGGAGTTTGAGATCAGACTGGGCAACAGAGGGAGACCCATTTCTATGAAAACATTTAAAAAATTAGCCTGACATAGTGACCCTCACCTCAAGTCATTGCTGATTTTTTTTTTTTTTTTAGGGTCTTGCTCTGTCACCCAGGCTGGAGCACAGTGATGCAATCATAGCTCACTGTAGTCTTGAACTTCTGAAGCTCAAGTGATCCTCCTGCCTCAGCTTGCCAAATAGCTGGGACCACTAAGTGCGCTGGAGTGCGCTGGTGTAATCATAGCTCACTGAAGCCTCGAATTCCTCGGCTTGAGCAAACCTCCTGCCTCAGCTGGGACCACAGGCATGAGCCACTGCCCCCGGCCCCATATTAATAATATTCAGCTGGCTGGGTGTGGTGGCTCATGCCTGTAATCCCAGCACTTTGGGAGGCTGCGTTGGGCGGATCACCTGAGGTCAGGAATTCAAGACCAGCCTGGCTAACATGGCAAAACCCCATCTCTACTTAAAATATAAAAATTAGCCAGGTGTGGTGGTGCATGCCTGTAGTTCCAGCTACTCGGGAAGCTGAGGCAGGAGAATCACTTGATCCTGGGAGGTGGAGGTTGCAGTGAGCCGAGATCGCACCACTGCACTCCAGCTTTTTTTTTTTTTTTTTTTGGAACACCTTCTTTGAGCCAGGCCACACCCTGGACATCAGGAATGTTCTGAGAGGGGGAGCTGAGTGGGCAGTGTCCTGAGAAAAGGAGGAGAGAGGGGCATAGGGAAGGAATTCAACCTTGCTGGCTTGGGTGGGCACAGAGAGAAGGGTGGCCTTGGGGGAGGGTAATGGGGGTGAGAGGCCCCTGGAGCCTGGGGCTGGGAGGAAAGCCCCCACCCAGAGAGAAAGCCAGGCAGACCCCAATGCACCTATCGGGGAGAAAGGGAGAAACAGGAGACTGCAAAGCCCAGCCCAGGCTGGAACAGCCTCCAGAGGCCATGGGGCCACCTCCCTGCCTTTGGCAGAGCCAGAAAGAACAGGCTGACCCTGCTTTCAGGGACACATCTGAAACTCCTCTGGGCCCATGAGATTGTCAGGAAGTCCTTCTTGAAGTTAACCTAAATCCACACACTGCAGTTGCAGCCCACGTCTCCTTGTTCTCAGGGGGAACCTATTCCGCAGTCCTCACATCCCTGGACAAGACCGCACTTGACGTTCAGGATCTTACTTAGGGCGCTGGAGTCAGGCAGGTGCCCTGGCAATGCCACTTGTGGGCTGAGTGGCCTTTGGCAAATCAGTTCTCCTAGAGCCTCAGTTTTCTCATTTGCAAAAGGGAAATGGCAAAGCTCTCTAACACATCATAGAATTATTGTAAGGGTTAAACAAAGTCAGTCATGTGAAAGCACTTAGCACAATGCTGGGCAGGCAGCAAGAATGAATTCGGTGCCAGATATAATTATGAATATGGGGCCGGAGGCGGTGGCTTATGCCTATGGTCCCAGCTACTCCAGAGGCTGAAGCAGGAGGATTGCTTGAGCCGAGGAGTTTGAAGCTGCAGTGAGCTATGATCACACCAGTGCACTCCAGCCTAGGCTACAGAGCAAGACCCTGTCTCAAAAAATTAAGAGTAAAAAAATAGAAATCATGATTACAATAGGACTGTTGTTGGGATTAAATGAGATAATATGCATCAGGCGCTGAGCATGCCAGCATGAGCTTCCCAGCAGATAAAGGGACAGCTTCACCTCCCTCAGGAATTTATATGAGAAACACAAAGGCATATAAATAAATGGATAGGGCCATACCTAAATAAATAGAAGGCAGTTAATGAAGCTGCATTATTTGTTGAACAGAAAGTGCCGAGCTCAAGGTCCATCAAAGAGTAAGCGCTCAATTAACCGTAGCTAGAATTGCCATCATACTATTATGGGCCCCACCTCTTCCCTGGCTCTGCTCTCAGTCTGTAGAACGAGGTCGTGGGTTGCATCTGCGGTTTCTAACCCAGTGTGGCTCGGCTGCAGGGTGGTTGTGGGGTCCCTGAGAGGTGCATGGCTTGGTGTGAGTATGATCTCCTGTGTTCTTGCAGAGACCTATGCATGTCACCCTTCATCATTCTGTCCTTGCTGGAAATGGGTCAACTCTGGAAATCAAATATTTGCCACTGAAAAGCCTGCCCTTCCCCTCCTCTCCCTTCTCCCACTCCTCCCTCTCCTCCTTCTCTTCTCCTTCCTGTTCCTCCTCCCCTTCCTCCTCCCCCCAACTCTGACTCCATCTTTGTCCTGCACAACAAGCCTGCCATTTCCCCTCACTGCGGTGTCTGTGCAGTCCCACGGGGGAGGGGAGAGGCCGCTGGACTTTGACCCTCCAAGGACCACTTGTTATCCTGGAAAACTGTTTCCTAGCAAGCCTTTAATCCACTCCAACCTGGAAAAGGCAAAAGCAGCAGCCAAACCCTCAGCCTCACTCCTCTCCTCTCTCTTGCCTCCTCCCTCTCCTCGGGCTGTGGAGTTCAGTGTCCATGCCTCTCCTCCTCCTCCTTCTAAGGGTGCTGGAGCCAAGGCTGAGGAGGCTGCAGGGGAGGACTGGGGTCTCTCCTGTCCTGGTTCTAACCTTCCACAGAAAGAGCCAGAGAAGAGGCCACAGGGGGCATTAAGAGCAAAGAATCAGGCTGGGTGCGGTGGCTCATGCCTGTAATCCCAGCATTTTGGGAGGCTGAGGCAAGAGGATCGCCTGACCCCAGGAGTTTGAGATCAGCCTGGGCAACATAGCGAGACCCCGTCTCTACACAAAATAAAACAAAAAATTAGCCAGGCATAGTGGCATGTGCCTGTAGTCCCAGCTACTCAGGAGACTGAGCTCAGAGGATCACCTGAGTCTGGGAGACGGAGGCTGCAGTGAGCCAAGATCGTGCCTCCTGGACAACCGGAGTGAGACCCTATCTCAAAAAAGAGAGATAGAGAAAAAAAAAGAGCAAAGAATCAGGAGTCAACTTGCTGTGTGACCTCAGGCAAATGAATGCAACTCTCTGAGCCTCAGTTACGCCATCTGCAAAATGGGCATCAAACATGAGCTCCCTCATTGGGTGATGTCAGGATTCAAATCATGTGAAATGCTTAGCAAGTCCTAAGTGCTCAAAGTCCTTCCAGAAACTTCCAAGGCTCTGCACATACTGGCCTGAGTTCCCCCACCTTTTCCCTCCCTGCTGTGTCTCACATGCCCCTGCCAGCCTCCTGGCACCTATACATGCTATTCCCTCTGCCTGGACACCACCCCTTGCCAATCTGCTAGAACATTCCTCCCAGGCTGTGACAAGTCCTTCCTTTAAGAAGCTTCCCTGAGAACTTTCCCACCCCTGTCCCCTCCTCCCCACAGGATAGCTCTTGCAGTTCAACTCCTTCAAGTCCCCTGCACCACAAGGGCCTCAGTCCTCAATCCTTAGCATCATGATTGGTTCACTATGTTTTTCCCCACCACACCCTAACCCCACCTGCACAAGGCGACCTCCGTCTTATTCACCTGTGTGTCCCTGGCCATTTGTTGAATAAATGAATAAACTTCTTTCCACCACTATGCCAGAAAAAAGGATTGAGCTTCAGGACCCACAGGGTTGAAGATCTCAGGCTTGGAACCAAGTTACCTGAGCTCAGATTCATCCTCTGTCCCCTCCCAGCTAGGTGAGCCTGGACAAGTACTGTGCTCTATGTGGAATAAGAGAGAAGTGGTAAAGTGCTGAGGCTCGGGCCTGGCACAGTGTCAGGGAGTGCCACTCTCTCCCCATCTGTGCAGTGGGCCACTGTGGGGATGGGCAAAGTAGACGTCAACTCCAGGGCAGGTGAAAGCTCACTGCTCTGGGGGTGACCCCGATACCCCCATGCCCAGTCCCTTCCCCAACAGTGTCCTCTTGCCCTGGATAGGAGAGAAGGGCTGTCTGGAAGTGAGCTCTGGGATCCAGCTATGCTGGGTCCACCTTCTGGGAACTCACAGTCATGGGATGGGGACACATGTCCCATCCCCTGTGGCCAGCTTAGCCAAGGTAATAGTAGCAGAAGAACCTACGTAGGGAGGTGGGGAATACGCGAAGTCCTCCCAGGACAGGAGCTGGGCCCTGGAGGGGGATGTGTTCTCTGTGCAGGGAGGTCAGCATTCTTCCCCAGGGAGGAGCAGCCCCAGGAGGCCAAAGCTCAGCCCTGGGAAAGGTAAAATGGCAAGGGAGCCCTGTGGAGAGTGATGGAGGGGTAGGGAGAGGGAAAGCTGGAAGGGCGGATGAGTGTCAGAACCTGTGATACTTTCTTGTTCTCTCAGCAGTTTCATCTTCATTTCAGAAAATCACTCTCATGGTTCTCCAGCAACAGCTTGCAAAGCACTCTCTCTCTCTCTCTCTCTCTCTCTCTCTCTCTCTCTCTCTGTCTCTCTTAATCTCTCTGTCTCTCTCTCTCTCTCTCTTCAAAAAACACAAAAAATTGCTGGGCATGGTGGTGCATGCCTGTAGTCCCAGCTATTTGGGAAACTGAGCTCAGAGGATCACCTGAGCCTGGGAGGTCGAGACTGTAGTGAGCCAAGACTGTGCCACCTGGGCAACCATCTCTCTTTGTCCTTCTTTCTCTCTCTGTCTCCCCTATACACACTTCCTTTTAATTTGGTGGGATTTGATGGAGAAGTAATCATGATTAACCTCAGGGTCAGAGTGGTGTCTTCCTTCCTCTCCACAGCTTCAAGCCCCCTCCCTCCCCATCTATTGGACCCACAGCGCTGAACTCCGCATTTGCATCCTCCCCCTGCCTCTCACCCACCCCCACCCTCATGGCATTATTTAGTTATCTGTACATAAAGACACAGGCCCCTCTGCAGCCTGCCTCCTTCTCACGGTGTGTGCAGCCCCCTCAAATGTTTGTGTCTCAGAGCCACACTATGCATCATGGGGAAGGAAGACCAGAATCATTCTCCTATGAGACCAGGGAGGAAATGAGTTCCGAGAGGGGATGAGACTTGCTGGAGATTCCATGGGCAGTGAGGAAAACCCAGAGCTGGAACCCACATCCTGTGCCCCAGAATAGGAACAGACATGGTAACTACAGTATTAGCATTGGTTTCTAGTTGCTCATTCATAGCACTTGAAGAGATACAGTGACTTGTGCAAGGTCACCTGAGTTGGGATTTGATTCCGAGCATGAGTATAGAGCAAGCGCTCCTTCTGCAACACCTTCTACCTCTCCAGAGGAATGGTCTAGGCCCTTCACATCCAGGCCCCCACCAGCAACCTTACCACCTGCTTCCTACCTCCCTCCCCAGCAGGTGCTGCCTTTTCTCTGGCCAGGCCTTGAGGCCGCTCTGCAAAGATGCCAAGGTCTCTGAAGCCTAAGTCCTTTCATGGGCTGTTCCCTGTGTCTGAGATGCCCTAGGAATGCCTGTTTTTTAAAGCTGAGCAGGTGTCGCCACCTCAGGGAAGACTTCTGGAGCTCTCCAGAATCTTCCTGGTACAGATCCAGGTGGGGCTGGAAATATAGGCTGCCTGTGCTCACTCCATAGCCATCCACATGTGATGGAATTGTCTGCTGCTTGTCCACCTCTCCATTCAGGCTGGTCACTTTGGTAGGAGATGCGTGGAGCATAGTGGCTGGGAGAACAGCTTTTGGAGACAATCTCTGGTTATCTCTTGCTGCAAAACAAATCATCCTAAAACCTAGTGCCTAAAAACACAATCATTTTATTATTATCTCTCTTGGTTCCAAGAGTTGATGGGCTCAGCTGGGTGGTTTTGCTCATGGTCTTTCATGCAGTCACAGGTGGATGGAGGCTGGAACTGGAGTCATCTCAAAGGCTCCCTCACTTACATGTCTGGTGGCGGAGTCAGGCTGTCTGCTGGGACCTCACCTGGGGCTGTCAACTGAAGCACCTCCATGTGGCCTCTCACTAGTTCCTCTGCATGGGCTAAATTGGGCTTCCTCACAGTATGGTGGCTGGATTCCAAGAGTGAGCATCCCAAGAAAACAAAGCAGAAGTGCATCACTTTCCTAGGGCCTAGCTTCTGAAGTCACATAATGTCATTTCCGGCTTAGCATACTCCATCAGTAAGGCAGTCAAAAACTCCAGGTTCCAAGGGAGGGGGCATAGATCCTACCACTCCATGGGAGAAGGTCAAGATCACATTATAAGGATGGCGGTCATCTTTGAAAATACAATCTGCCACAGTCAGACTGACCTAGGGTGAAATCTTGCCACCATCCCTTATTTGCCCTCTGTTTCTTCATCTGTAAGACAAAAAGCTAATAATAGTACCTACATCATTGGGATGTAAAAGGAAAGTGAGAAAATGCATGTACAGGCTGGGCGTGGTGGCTCACGCCTGTAATCCCAGCACTTTGGGAGGCGAAGGCGGGTGGATCACAAGGTCAGGAGTTCGAGACCAGCCTTACCAAAATGGTGAAACCCCGTCTCTACTAAAAACACAAAAATTAGCCAGGCATGGTGATGCGCGCCTGTAATCCCAACTGCTTGAGAGGCTGGGGAAGGAGAATCGCTTGAATCCGGGAGGCGAAGTTTGCAGTGAGCCGAGATCACGCCACTGCACTCCAGCCTGGATGACAGGGCGAGACTCCATCTCAAAAAAAAAAAAAAAAAAAAAAGAAAATGCATGTACAGCCCTTGGCCCTACTGCTATATATATAAGCACTCAGCAAATTATAAATAAGATGATGTCAGTCATTCCTGTGCTTCCACACCTAACACAGTAGGTGGAGCATGCACACAGTGGGCACTCAATAATTGTTTCTTGGATGTGTGAATGCCACAGTAAGAATGCTGGACCTCTTGGAGTTTCCCAGCAATAAGCATATATATATATATATATATTTTTTGAGACAGCTCTGTCGCTCAGGCAAGATCAGATCAGCTCTGTCATGATCTTGGCTCGCTGCAGCCTCTGCTTCCCAGGTTCAAGCAATTCTCCTGCCTCAGCCTCCCAAGTAGCTGGGATTACAGGTGTGCAGCACCATACCTGGTTCATTTTTTTGGTATTTTTAGTAGCGACAGGGTTTCACCGTGTTGGCCAGGCTGGTCTTGAACTGCTGACCTCAAGTAGTCTGCCCACCTAGGTCTCCCAAAGTGTTGGGATTACAGGCATGAGCCACCACACCTAACCTATTATTCCTCTTTTTACAAGATGTTTTAAACAAACGAAAAATCACGGAGGAAACAAAACAAAATGCTTACACACTTCTACCCAGTTTTGTCAAACCTTAACATTTTGCCATATTTCACTTATTTTTTTACCATTACAGATATGTTAAAAGCATTACTCTCCCTTTCTTTCCTATAGGAAAGGGAACACCTCAATGTGGTGTTTAAAATTGATATAAGCAGTTTGTAATATTTTATTGCATTTGTCTATATGCCCAAGTTTTGTGCGCTTTTAAATTTTATGTGAAGTGATATGGTATTGAGGGTATTTTTTCTGCAACTTCCTTTTTTCTTCAGCATTATGCTTTTTAAGATTTATTAATGATAAAGATGATTCCTGCAGCTTATTTGCTAACTGCTGTATATCATTCCATTGCCTGTGTATGATGTAATTCATTAGTCCAACCTTCTACTGATGCATATTTAGGGTGTTTCTAGTTTTTACACTTTAATAATCAATGCTGCAATCAACAACCTTGAATGTTTTGTATGTGTGACATTTCTCAGAAACTAGGGGAACAATTGGTGGGTTACAGGGGTGCATGCATCTTCAATCTTCCTAAATATTCGTAAATTATTCTCCAAAGTAGTTCTACCAAATCATACTCCCACCTGCGGAGTGTAAATATTTCCCTGGCACCACATCTTCCCAACACTGGATATTGATGACATTTTCATTTTTGCCAATCCGATGGGGGAGAAATTGTGTCTCATTATTTGAATCTGCCTTCCAATGTGATTGAGCCTCTTTTTGATGTGTTATTGACTGTATGGGATTCTTCTCAGAACTGCCTGTTCCTATCTGCTGTCTATTTCTCTATCGGGTTGTTTGGCTTTTTACCTTACTGGTTTGTACACTGAATACTAACTCAGAAACAGTTGTTTATTTGCATTGTAAATATGTTTTCCAGTCTATACCTTGTTTTTCACTTTAACTATGGTGGTTTTCGTGCATAAAAGTTTTAATTATTAATGTATCACTTTTCCTTTCTTATTTGTGCTTATTATGAATAGTTTAGAAAACCCATCTCTACTTCCTGAGATCAGGAAATTAATTTGTCTAATTGCAAGAAAGTTTTGCTTTTTCACATTTAAGTTCTTTAACCTTCTGGAATTGTGTGTGTATGGGGTGTGTGTATGTGTGTGTAGTGTGAGGTTGGGGTTCACATTTTGTTTCCTGTGTATAAACAATTCATGCCAGGAGTAGTTGTTCATACCTGTAATCTCAGCACTTTGAGAGGCTGAGATGGGAGGATCGCTTGAGCCCAGGAGTTTGAGATCAGCCTGAGCAGGATAGGGAGACCCTATCTCTACCCCCCAAAAAATCACTATTCAGTAAATAGTCCATTTGGTCTCCACGATTTCGAATGTCTCTTCTGTCAACATCAAGACCGTGTCTGTTTGTGGATTCTCTCTTCTGTCCCAGTCTCTCACTGGAAACTTCCTTTGCCTTTCATTAGTGGCTAGTGATGCTGCCTCCTTTTCCCAAGCTCTGATTTCTTCCAACTCTAAAATGTGAGGCCTCAATTTGATGCCCAGCCTTGCCACTAATTTGCCACATCACCTTGGGCCCACACCTTCCTCCCTGAGCCTTTTCTCCATCTGTGAACAATGGGGAGGTGGTCAGCCAGATCATCAAGAGTGGATAGCTGTGGTGTTGGAGCTTGGTTCTCTCTCACTGAGCCCTTCACTCTCCAAAACACACATCTCCACAATTAGGGTGGTGAACTGTTCTGGTTTGCTCAGGACTGAGTGGCTTCCTGGGACATGGGACTTTCAGTGCTAAAATCAGGATAGTCCCAGGAAAACTAAGACAGTTGGTCACCCTATTAATTGGCTCTTGCCCTGCACCCACTAGATAGTAAGCTCCATTTAAACAGGGTGAATTTTGCATATCACCACCCCCAATACCCAGAATGGTGCTGGCAAACTGTAGCTGTCCAATAAGTGATTTCTGAATGAAAGGGTTTTTGGATGAATTAATGAGCATCCATAGTATCCCCTGCTACCACCCTGGTCAAAGCCACCATCATGACCACCTCCTAACTTGCCTCCCAGCTTCTGTTCTTGGCATACTTGGTCTCTTCACCCAACAGCATGGAAGCCACCATATAATTCCTCTACTCAAGTTCTTCCAAAGGCTTCCCAATGTATATGGTTTGGCTGTGTCCCCACCCAAATCTCATCTTGAATTGTAGCTCCTATAATTCCCATGTGTTATGGGTGGGGCCCAGTGGGAGATAATTGAATCACAGGGGTGGTTTCCCCCATACTGTTCTTTTGGTAGTGAATAAGTCTCATGAGATCTGACCGTTTTATACAGGGTTTCCCCTTTCACTTGGCTGTCATTTTCCTTTCACCTTCTGCCATGATCATGAGGCCTCCCCAGCCATGTGGAACTGTGGGTCTATTAAACCTCTTTTTCTTTATAAATTACCCAGTATCTGGTATGTCTTTATCAGCAGTGTGAAAACAGACTAATACACCAATCTCAATCTCCATGCTTATAATAGTTCTGCTACCCCCATTACCTCTCTGACATTGACATGAATGACGTTGCTTATTCACTCCAACAATGCTGGCTCCCTTGCTAGTCTTCGAATTCTCCAAGTATGTTCCCACCTCAGGGCCTTTGCACTGGCTGCTCTGCCTGGCACATTCCTCCAGATAACCATGTGGCTTGCTCCTTCCCCAAATGTCACTATATAATATTGCAGTTCCACACCCAACAACTCTTACCTTTTTCCAGATTTGTTTTTCTCCTTGGTGTTTACAACCATCACACACACTACACATTTTACTTATTTATCTTGTTCACTATCTGTCTCTCTCCCTGGCCATGAAGGCCTGGATTTTTGTCTGTCTTGTCTTGTTCACCCCTGTATCCCCAGCACCTGCACACTGGAGCCAGACACTAGTGGGCCTAGTAAGTCACTTGACACTTTCCAGCATATGATAAATGCCTAAACTCTGAACAGGGGAAACATGGTCTGGGAGGAACTCTCAAGGCTTCAGGAGCTGAGTATCTCTATGAACGAAGCCTGGGAGTGGGAATCCACACCTGCAACTCAGGGAACAGAACACAAAGTAGGGCTACGAAGGTCGGTGTGCACCATGTGACACCATCACACAGCCCCCACCTGTCCTTTCTGCAACTGCCTCCTCAATGAAGTAGAGAGCCCTTATCTTCTTTTCCTTTCCTCCAAAGCCAATCTTTATATTGATTTCTCCATCTCCACCTCCAGCTGCAGTCAGTGGGCGTTGGGAGAGACGGAGCGTGTCTGTTTTGCTTAAGAGTTCCCCACATCTCAGACAGCCACCAGCTGTCACATCAGGCTGCAGGGACCTGGCTGCCTGGCTGCCATGGGGCTCCAGAGAGAAACAAACTAACCCCCCTTTTCCTCTATCACCCCCTGAGGGACTGGGTGGGTCAGTCATTCATGCCTTCAGCATTGTGTGGGCACCTAGTGTTTGCCAGGCCCCATTCTCAAGTTGAATTACTGAATGGTTCATTCAACTAATATTTAATGAGCACCTACTATGTGACAGGTACTGTTCTAGATAGGATACAGCTGTGAGCAACAGATGAAAATTCTCTACCTTTGTAAATGGGAAACAATGAGAAACATTAGTAAACTATTTATAGCAATGGGTCACATGGGGACAGATGATAAGGACAAAAATAATATAGAGTGTAGCAGTAGTGAGTGTTGAGGTGGGGAAGCTACAATTTTAAATGGGGTGTTACGGTAACATTTGAAGCAAAGGTAACATTTGAGCAAAGACTTGGAGGAGGTGAGAGAGGGAGAAAGCTGTTTGAAGAAGGCAAGAGAGCCAGCCATTGGCAGTCTGGCAGAAGACAGTCCATGCCAGGAAACGGCAGCTGCAAAGTTCTAGAAAAAGTAAGGGGATCAGTGTTCCTGGGGTGGAGTGAATGACAAAGCAGAGAAAGTGGGTGACAAGGCCAGAGAGGTAAGTGGTAAAATCCTGAAGGGCCTCTTATGCCCTGGTGAGGACTTTGAATTTCACTGTGCAATGAGATGGGAGCCATTGGAGGTTTCTGAGTAGGAAGCAACACTCTCCGACAAATTATAACTGGACCATTCTGGCTGCCGTGAAGAGAACAGACTGAAGGAAGGAAAGGGAGGAGGCAAGGCTATCTTTTGTTCTCTCCACTCCCTTATTGGCAGACATTCTGCCTTAATTTGTAGCCAGCAGAGCTGCCCCTTGATGAAATGGGCTACCTGGAGAGAAACTGAGTTCTTTGCCATGGGAGGCATACAAGCAGAGCCTGATTGCCTTGTCAGGGATAAAGTAGAGACATTCTGTGAGTGGGCAAGTGGTGAAACCTGAGGACCCTAAAGTGACCCCTAGACTTCCTCTGTATCCTGAGATTTTAAAGAGAGTGCTTAGGTTTTCGGAATTTCTTATCCTTCCTACCCCTAACTCCCCCACCCCCACCCCCCAACACCTACATTGATAGGTCAGAATATTTTTTAGTTGCAAGTGACAAGAACCTACATCAGATTGGTTTAAGCACAAAGGGAAATTGATTGGATCACAAAATTGAAAAGGGCAGGCTTCAGGTGCAGCTGGACCAAGGAACCCCACTGCTATCATTTGGAATCTGTTCCTCTCCACCACATGGCTCTGACTTCTTCACTGTTAGTCTTGAAGGTTCTCTTTGCATGGTGGCAAGAATGGCCACCAACAGCTCCAGGCCGACACCCTTCCAGCTTTGCAAACCAAGAGAAAGAAACCACTTCTTTACCAGCAAAATTACCAGCATGGAATCTCATTGGCCCAGTTGAGTCATGTGCACATTCTTTAACTAATCATCACAGGCAGAGATATGGAGTGTTCTGATTGCCTGGGGATGGTCTCATGTCCCTGGAGCTGAGGGCAGAGGGGCAGCCCTGCCAGATCCATGGAGGTAAGAAAGGAGGAAGGAGATTCCTCCAGGGAAGATGGACAGGGAGTCACAGGAGAAGAAGGTGTGGTTGATCCCAGGCCACCTCTGACCGACGAAGGGGCAACAGGGACAGCCTGAATTATCCCCATGTAGCTTTGCAATTACTAATTTTCCTGAGTCAGAACCTGGGAGCTCATAAAACCCGGTCAAGGGCAAGGACATTTAGGCAGCACAGTTATAGTTGTTTGCAAACAAAGTCTGGAGCATAAACATAAAGCTTTCCAAAGTCTGTGCCCAGCCATCAACCCCAAGGCCATCTGGACCCTGCCAAGTCTGAACCCACTGGAAACAACATAAAAACAACAGCAAGGGGTTACTTAGCCGGGGAGGATGCTCTGAGTTCCACAAGCTGCAAAGCCAATAATGTCTGACAAAAAAACCACACCTGCCATGCCAAGAGGGGCTCAAGAAGTCACGAGACTCATCCCCCTGCCTCCAAGGAGGGCTGGAAAACAACCCTCAAGCCATGTGAATCGAGCTTGGGGGGATCTGGCTCAGAAACATCAGGTAGAATTGCCTTCAGTAACTGGGATTTTAACAATGAAACCCACTTTTACATTTGTTGTAAAAATGCCCTAGAGAGTAATTAGCGGCTGCCTCAAAAGCAAGCTTTCTGTCCCTTGTGGGATTCCTTCCTCTTTCTCAATTACATGTTTCTTTAGGTGGTTGATGTTCTGGGTGCCAGGCAGCTCAGAGCCTCAGGAGAGTCCAGGAAAGGTGTCCTGTGATGAGAGATTGGAGGAATTCACGGAAAGACGAATACAGCACATCTTTATAGTTTCAAGCTATAGTTTTAAAGTCGAGAGAAGTGGGTGTGTTTGTTGTTTGGGCTGCTATACACTGGATGGCTTATAAACAACAGAAATTTATTTCTCACAGTTCTGGAGGTAGGAGTCCAAGATCAAGGTGCTGTCAGATTTGGTATCTGGTGAGGGCCCACTTTCTTGTTCATTGATGGCCCTTTCTAGCTGTGGAAAAGGCCAAGGATCTCCCTGGGGACTCCTTTATAAGGGCACTAATCCCATTCCTGAGGGCTCCATCCCCATGACCTAATCCCCCGACAAAGGGCTCACTTCCTAATACCATCATGTTCGTGGTGAAGTTCCAACGTACGAATTTCAGGGAGATGCAAACATTCAGACCACTGCAGTGTGTTGGAACACTAGCTCTTCAGTCTGTGGAGCCTTGAGTAAATTACTGAACCTCTCTGAGCCTCCATTTTCTGATCTTTACAATGGAGCTACTCAATATTGTCAGTTATCAGGGGAAATGTAAATTAAAACTGCAGTGAGAGACTGTTATGTACCCACTAGAATGACTAAAATCAAAGACTGACAACACCAAATGTTGGCAAGGATGTGGACCAACCCGAACAACTCACCATTTAGTGAAAAGTGCATTTGATACACGCTGGTTTCTAATTCTTCTGTCACCTGTTAAGGCTGGTGGGAATGTAAAACGGTATGATCACTTTGGAAATTTCTGTGGCAATTTTTTAATAAAAGCCAATCCTACACTTAACCTATGACCCAACAATTCCACTCTTAGGTATTTACCCAAGATAAACAAAAACACATGTCTTCCAAAAGATTTGTATAAAATACTCATAGCAGGCTAGGCACAGTGGCTCACTCCTGTAATCCTAGCACTTTGGGAGTCCGAGGCGGGTAGATCACTTGAGGCCAGGAGATCAAGACCAGCCTGGTCAACATGGTGAAACCTCATCTTTAAGAAAAATACAAAAGTTAGCTCAGCGTGGTGGCACATGCCTGTAATCCCAGCTACTCAGGAGGCAGAGGCAGGAGAATCACTTGAACTCCGGAGACGGAGTTTGCAGTAAGCTGAGATCACGCCATTGCACTCCACCCTGGGTAACAGAGTAAGACTCTGTTTAAAAAAAAAAAAAATACTCATAGCAACTTTATTCACGATAGCGCCAAACTTGAAACAGCCCAAATGTTCCCGACAGGTCCATAAATAAACAAATCGTCATGTGTCCATACAATAGACACTACCCAGCAATAAAAAAAAAAAACCTCCTCCTTATATTTATTTATTTATTTTTACAGATACAAATCGTTGTACGTATTTATGGGGTACATATGATATTTTGCATAGACTGTGTAATGATCAAGTCTGGGTATTTGGATTGTCCATCACCTTGACTACTTATCATTTCTACATGCTGAGAATATTTCAAGTCCTGTCTTCTGGCTATTTTGAAATACACAATACATTGTTATTAACCATAGTCACCCTACTCTACTATCAAACATTAGAAATTATTCCTTCTGTCTAACTGTATATTGGTACCATTAACCAATCTCTTTATATCTTCTACCCACACACCTTTCCCAGCCTCTGGTATCTATCATACTACTCTCTCCCTTCATTAGATCAAGTTTTTTAGTTCCACTTATAAGCAAGAACATGCGATATTTGTCTTTCCATGCCTGGCTTACGTCACTTAACATAATGATCTCCAGGTTCATCCATGTTGCTGCAAATGACATGATTTCATTCATTCTTTTTTTTTTCTTCTTTTTTCTTTTTCTTTTTTTTTTTTTTTTGAGACGGAGAGTCTCACTCAGTCACCCAGGCTGGAGTGCAGTGGCATGATCTCAGCTCACTGCAACTTCCGCCTCCCAGGTTCAAGCAATTCTCCTGCCTCAGCCTCCCAAGCAGCTGGGATTACAGGTACCCACCATCACGCCTGGCTAATTTTTTTGTATTTTTAGTAGAGATGGGGTTTCACCATGTTGGCCAGGCTGCTTTTGAACTCCTGATCTCAAGTGATCTGCCCGCCTTGGCCTCCCAAAGTGCTGGGATTACAGGCATGAGCCACTGCGCCCGGCCGATTTCATTCTCTTTTATGGCTGAATAATATTCCATTGTGTATATATACCACATTTTCCTCATTCGTCCATTGATAGACACTTAGGTTGATTTCATATCTTTACTATTGTAAATGGTGCTGCAGTAAACACAGGAGCACAGGTATCTTGTTGATATACTGATTTCCTTTCCTTTGGCTAAATGTCCAGTAGTGGGATTGCTGGATCCTGTGATAGTTCCACTTTTGGTTTTTTGAGAAATCTCTATACTGTTTTTCATAGTAGCTGTCCTAATTTACATCCCAATCAACAGTGTATAAGAGTTCCCTTTTCCCTGTATCCTCACCAGCATCTGTTTTTGTTGTTGTTGGGTTTGTTTTGTTTTGTTTTATTAACAATTGCCTTTCTAACTGGGGTAAGACAGTATCTTGTTGTGGCTTTGATCTGTGTTTCTCTGATTAGTGATGCTGAGTATTTTTCATATACCTGTTAGCCATTTGTATGTCCCCTTTTGAGAAATGTCTATTCATGTCCTTTGCCCACGTTTTAATAGGATTTTTTTTTTTTACTGTTGATCATTCCCTTTAAAACAAACTAGTGATAAACACAACACATGGATGACTCTCTAAGTTTTCTGCTGAGTGAAATCCTTACACAAAGGGTCCATTTGTGCACTTCCACTTATATGAAGTTTTACAATAACCAAACTAATCTGTGGTGGTAAAAAAAAAAAACAAAAAAACAAAAAAACAAGTAGTAACAGTGTTGCCTCTAGGGCTTTGGGGATTTATCGGGAAGGGGAATTAGGGTATTTTCTAGGGAGATGGAAATTAATTCTGTATCATTATATGGATGTGCATTGTTCAAGTGCAAGTGTTTGTCAAAACTCAGCAAATGGTACACTTAAGGTCTGCGCTCTTTGCAGTTGGTGAATTTTACTTTTCAAAAGGAACCCTAACCAAATATTGCATTTCAATTAAAGAGAGACGTGCTCAAGTAGTTAGAAAGAAATGTACAGATGTCTGTAACTTTCCTTGAATTGTATGAAAAGTAGATGGGCTGATAGTTGGATAGAGGGATGGGTAAATGAATCCGTCTGGGATAAGGAAAGTGTTGAAAAACATTAATGGTAGAACCTAGGTGGTAAATAGATGGGTATTCACTGAAAAACCCTTTCGCCTTTATGTTAGAAACTTCATCATGAAATGTTGGGGACCTGCCTCACCAGGTTGATGTAAGGACCTCGTGGGATGAAGCCAGCTCAGTGACCATTCCAGAGAGGACACTCGACACATGGTAACCATCATTATGATCAGTAGGGATATGTGGAAATAGGAGTGAGGGTACATGAGATATGGCAAGACCCAGGTTGACAAATCTTTCCTACTATTATTATTTTAATTGTCTAATCTTTTTGAATTGCTGATACTTGCATGTGGTACAAAATTTCAAAGATACAAATGTATACAAAGCATGACAACTCTCCCTCCCTCCTCTGTCCCCCAGTTACCTAAACCCATCCCCAGAGGTTTCCTGTTTCTTTCCAAGGATATTCTATGTTGTATATGTAATTATATGTGTGTATATATATTTTCCTTTTGTCATAACAGCATGCTATACACTCTTCTAGCATTTTTTTTTTTTTTGAGATGGAGTCTCACTCTGTTGCCCAGGCTAGGGTGCAGTGGCACAATCTCAGCTCACTGCAAACTTCGCCTCCCAGGTTCAAGTGATTCACCTGCCTCAGCCTCCTGAGCAGCTGGAATTACAGGCGCCCACCACTGCACCTGGCTCATTTTTGTATTTTTAGTAGAGACGGGGTTTCACCCTGTTGGCCAGGCTGGTCTCGAATTCCTGACCTCGTGATCTACCCACCTTGGCCTCCCAAAGTGCTTGGATTACCGGCATGAGCCACCATGCTCAGCCGCATTTTTAAAATTTAATATATCCTGCTGATTCTTCTATATCCACACATGTGACCTGTCATTCTTTTATATGCCTGCATAGTGTTCCACTGGGTGGATCCATCACAGTTTTTTTGCTCAATCCCATATTGATGGACAGGTGGGTCATTTCCTTAGTTAGTGAAACCTTTTGAATGCTGCCATTGTCTTAAAGACTTGGAAACCGAGCCTAGCAACTCTCAGTGAATGAGTTGAAGAGTAGGGGCTTCTCTGGTCAAAACCCACAGCGCATCATTAAGTCTTTGGGCTTCCTCACTCCAGCTTTTATTAAATTATCCCAATTTGTCCTTTCAAATAGATGTCTTTTCTTAAGTAGTGATTTACCACAATTAAGCCCCCCCAAAATTAAATTAAGTGAATTACGTCTCTTAGGTTGGGTGTCTGCGGGAACCAAGGTTGGGCACAGTAATGGTCCAAATGCTATTAAAAGCAAAGGCAGGAGACTGTGCGCTGAGTTAGAAGGGAAAATTCATAGCTCCACTGATACGCCATGATAAATAATTATGAGTTATTAATTTTAAATTACATCTTTAATGCGTTGCATGATTTTAATTCCCCCTACAGTATTAATATCGGACTGGCTTTGATTAATTTAAAGCAGAACAGAAAGGTGCCAATTAAGAGAGCTAGCTGGGAACTTTGAGGTGTTTATATCTGTCTCTTGATAGCCCCCACGGTGGGGGGCAAGGTCATTCCTCAAGGGAAGCTGGCGATTACCCACAGCAACCCAGGGTGGGAGGTGTCAAGAAGAGTGGGAGATGGATGTTAACCCTTTTTGTATCTTCGAGTGCTAGAGAGGAAAGAGAGAAGGATGGAAAAATGAAAGACCTGGTCCAAGCCCCAAGGCCTTTAATGAGCCAGGAGATAGGTCAGGATGGGGCTGGGCATCCTGTGTGGCCTCGAGGCAGAATCAGGGACCAGGACTCCTGGGTTCTGGGATTCACTCTGTCACCTAGGACGATGGCTTTGACCTGTCTATGCTTTCATGGGATCTCAAGACTTGGACAAAAGGAGTAACGCTTGGTGAATATGAAGCAATGAATCAAAGAATTTCCTAACCAGCTGAATGGTAACAGGGTTATGCTTGGAACAGCAGCCCACCTTAAGAATGGGGCACACATGGAGATGTGTTTGGTTGACATTTTATTTTACATAATAGCTACATATTTAATGCATGCTAGAAATATATAACCAGCTCCTTGAACCTCTGATTTCATAGATACAATTGCTTCAGTTGAGGCTAAATTTAAAAAGAAAAAAAAGAAAAAGAAAAAACCATGATCCAAAAATAAAAGGACAAGCACAAGCACATTCATGTTTGGCATGTGGCTATGGCAAAAAGAATACAAATGTTTGTTATGCTGGCAATACCTAAGTAACCAAGGTTAATGACTTTCAGATTAACATCATGATAATTGCAGATGACAGAAACCCCTAGGCTTGGAAAAAGGAGATAGTACTTGATAAATATGAAAAATTTGAAGCAATGAGTCAAACGATTTTCTAGTTAGCCAAATGGAGGATATTGTCTGGTATAGCTGCTCTCTAATATAATATGATACAAATGGAGATGCTTTGGGGTCATCTATGAACTTTTAAAATTTTCTTTAATAGTTAAGTGCTTAATGTGTGCCAGCTCACCAAGACTTTTGGTTTCATGGATAGCATTGTTTAGGTTAAAATTCAGTTTAGGCCGGGCGTGGTGGCTCACACTTATAATCCCACCACTTTGGGAGGCTGAAGCGGGTGGATCACCTGAGGTCAGGAGTTTGAGACCAGCCTGGCCAACATGGTGAAACCCCGTCTCTACTAAAAATACAAAAAATTAGCCAGGCATGGTGGCGGGCGCCTATAATCCCAGCTACTCGGGAGGCTGAGACAGGAGAATCGCTTGAACCAGGGAGGTGGAGGCTGCAGTGAGCCCAGATCAGGCCATTGTACTCCAGCCTGGGCAACAAGAGCAAAACTCCATCTCAAAAAAAAAAAAAAAAAATTCAGTTTAAATTTCTTAAAAAGAGTGACTTAAAACAAAATATTGAAGTATAGTTTTATGTGGCTGTGGCAAATAATCATTATGACGGTGACACACAAGTAACTGAGGTTAGCGAATATCAAATTAATGTCACTGCAGCTGCATAGGATAGAAATCCTAGTCAAGGCTCTAAATTAATGACCCTAGATGAGAGTGAGCATAAAAAGAAGTCACCACAAGCCACAGTGTGAATTTATCACCTCTTCTCTTCCACGACAGATTATCCTTGATATTGCCAAAGCACTTCCCCATTAAGCACATTTGGTTCTTAAAGTCATCCTGAAGATGGGCAGTGCCTAGAAAAGTGCCTGGCTCATGGGAGGTGTACAGTATGCCATTGTGGAGTGAGGGAAAGAGGCAGGAGGGAGAGAAACAAGAAAAGAGGGAGAAAAGGAAGAATGAAGGGGATGAAAATAGCAGGTGTTCAATCAACACTAACATGATTATTCCATGCCAAATGTGGTTTGGAGCACTCAGCTTGGATCATCCCATTCAATACTCACAACAGCCCTGTGAAGTAAGAATTCTCATTGATCCCAATTCAGAAGGAGGACACTGAGGTTGAGAGAGGTGGAGCAACTTGCTTGAGGTCATCCAGCTAGTAGGCAACAGAATCAAATAGTATTACTCTCCATGTTTTATAGTCTCAGAGCCTGAGGCACAGAGAGGGTAAGCAACTGGCCCAAGGTCACAAGGACCTTCAATGGATCCAGAGCTTCAGCTCTTAAACACCAAACTATACTGCCTCATAAAAGAGACACACATTTTATAGATGTGAAAAGCTAAGACACAGATTGTGTTAGTCCTAAGGGCACTTAGTGGAGGCTTTAACTTGGATATTGGGACTCCCTGCACCATGTTCTTGTCATCACAGGTGACTATGTCTGCCTGACCCCCATAAGCACTGGGGAAAGTGCTTTTCATGGGCCAAGCAGAAGAGGGACTCTTGCCTAGCACATCGTGGGTGCTCAGTTTGACATGGGCTCCTCCACCCTGGCTCTGTCCCTCCCAGGCTAGGTTCCTTGGCCTGATGGTTTCCCATAAGCCTCCCTTGCGGTTCCGCACCAGCTCTGGGAGCCCCTGGAAGCCCAGCCAGAAACCCCAAGCTCAGCTTCCCAGCAGAGTTACAGAAGCAAGACAATCGCGTTAGGTCCCTGGGGCGGATTTGGCGGCCCCGTCATGCCTTTGAAAGGCAAGCATTCGCTGGGTGGACCGCAGTGAGTGGTTGGAGCAGGTTTCTGTTCAAAGCTCCTTCCTCTAGAGGCATTAAAGATGGATTATAATTCAGAGGGTTAGAGAAGGGTGAATGAAGCCACCTCCCCTCGCAGATAAGATGGTCATGCAGGTGGGACCTTCTGGGTCAAGGGTAGCAAGGATCCAGCAGCAGAAACAATAGCAGCAAAGATGAAGACAGCTGCTGTCACAGCGCCTACCCTGCGCCAGGCTCCATGCTCAATGCTGTAGATCAACAGCTTGCTTTAACTCTCACAACCACCCTGAAAGATGGCCATTAATCCCCAAATGAGGAAAGCAAGACACAGAGAGATTAGGTAACCGACTGGGGGCAACCCAGCTGGGTAAAATGCAGAGCTCAGATTCCAACTCAAGTCTGACACAGTTCTTGCTATTCACTACCTGTCCTCCAACTGCAATGAGTTAATTATTTATACAATTGCTTAAGTCCCATCTTCCCTGCCGCTTCACGAGATCAAGGCCAAGGTCCACGCCTGTTTCATTCCCATTGCATCTCCAGAGTCAGGCAGAGGACCTAGCAGAGAGTGGGTCCACAGTGAATATTTGCAGAATGAATTTTGAAAGGAAGAAAGGAAGGAGGAAGAGAGGGGAAAAATGGAAGGAATGAAGGAAGGAATGAAGGAAGGAAGGAAGGAAGGAAGGGAGGAAAGATGGAAGGAAGGGGGAGAGAAGGAGGGAGGAAGGATGGAGGGAAGGAAGGAAAAAAGGAAAGGAGGGAGGGAGGAAGGGAGAGAGGAAGGAAGGAAGGAAGGAAGGAAGGAAGGAAGGAAGGGAGGGAGGGAGGGAGGGAGGGAGGGAGGGAGAGAAAAGGGAAGGAGAAAGGGAGGGAAGAAGGAAGGAAGAAAAGGAGGGAAAGAAGAGAAGGATGAAGGAAGGAAGGAAGAAAGAAAGGAAGGAAGGAAGGAAGGGAGGGAGAAAGTAGGAAGCAGGAAGAAGGAAGGAGCTTATAACCCAGCGTCCCCAGCATGCTTGCCCTCACATTTCTGCTTGTCTGCTCTGCAGTGAAAGGTACACTATGAAAGAGGAAATGTTGAGCACAGCCACAGAGGCAGGAGGGGTGGACACATAAAAAGACCTTCACGCTGTATGGTATATATATATGGTATATATATATGGTGTATATATATATATGGTGTATATATATATATGGTGTATATATATATGGTATATATATATGGTATATATATGGTATATATATATGGTATATATATGGTGTATATATATATGGTATATATATATGGTATATATATATGGTGTATATATATATGGTGTATATATATGATATATATATGATATATATATGATATATATATGGTATATATATATATGGTATATATATATATGGTGTATATATATATGGTGTGTATATATATATATGGTATATATATATATAATTGAGGAGTCTTAGACAGAGAGGGAAAGAAGAGACTCCCAAATTCTAGTCTCCGCTCTGTGACTCACCATGTGACCTTAGGCAAGTCAGTTTATTCCTCAAAGATGGTCTTCATTTTTCCTGTTTCCCTGCCTCATAGGGCTGTTCTGAGGACAAGAAGGGAAAATGCACTTTTCAACCCCAGGTTGATCCAATGACAGTGTTAGCCTCCCTGCCCTCAATGCAGATCTAATCAAAGGACAGCTCCCTCCAGCCTGGAGGGGAGAAAGCCATTAGGCAGGTGTGAGGAGCACAGCTGGGCAGCTGCATGGTTGAATCTTGCCTCTGGGATTCGCTTGCTGTGAGACCTTGGGCAACAGACTCACTCCCTCTTGGTCTCGGTCTCTAATTTGCAACTGGAGGAAAACGCTAGGCATGCCTCCCTCACAGGGTGTAGTGATGACTCAGTGAGACGGGGCTTGCCCAGTGCCTGGCCCATGGTCAGCACTGACTGCACAGGAGCTGCTCTTTGTAATAATGCTGAACGTTAGTGAAATCAGCCTGGCAGCCAGGCTGAGGACTGTGGAGGTTTGGAGGGCTTTCTGGAGAAGGTGGGGTCTGGAGAAATGTTGAGTGAATTTGATTTTGAAGAAATGGCTTCACTGAAAGCACCAAAGTCAGAATGGAAAAGACATTTGCAGGGAGCAGGAGAGCCTCCAGATTTCAGGATCTCCTACAGAGTAGAAACTATCTTATAAACTTAAACTTTACGTGTTTTTTTGTTTTGTTTTTTTTCATCTTGGAAGGCGCAATGCCTTACTACTTATGTTAGCTATCTATAGCCATAATAATGCTCTGTAACAAACAATCACAAAACCTGCCAAGTGCAGTGGCTCATGTCTGTAATCCCAGCACTTTGGGAAGCCAAGGCGGGAGGATAACTTGAGACCAAGCATTCAAGACTGGCCTGGGCCACATACTGAGACCCTATCTCTACAAAAAATAAAATAGCTGGGTATGGTGGTGTGTGCCTGTAGTCCAAGCAACTGGAGAGGCTGAGGTGGGAGAATCACTGGAGCCCAGGAGTTCGAGGCTGCAGTGAGCTATGATTGCACCACTGCACGCCAGCCTGGGTAACAAGATGAAACCCTGTCTCTAAAACAAAACAAAACTTCCATTGTGGTTAGCAGGTGTATTAGTCTGTTCTCATGCTGCTGATAAAGACATACCCAAGACTGGGTAATTTATAAAGAAAAAGAGGTTTCATGGACTCACAGTTCCACATGGCTGAGGAGGCCTCAAAATCATGGCAGAAGGCAACAGAAGAGCAAAGGCACGTCTTACATGGCAGCAGGCAGTGCAGGGGAACTACCTTTTTATAAAACCATCAGTTCTAGTGACTCTTATTGACTATCATGAGAACGGCACAGGAAAACCCACCCCCATGATTCAGTTACCTCCCACCAGGTCCCTCATGACATGTAGGGATTATGGGAACTGCAATTCAAGATGAGATTTGGGTGGGGACACAGCAAAACCATATCAGCAGGCCGGGCAGCTCTGCTGATCTTGCCTGGGCTCATTTATGTGTCTCAGTCAGCAGGCTGATGGCTGATCTGGGATGGCCTCCACTGGGTTGATGAGGGCAGCTTAGCTGTGCTGCACAAGCCTTCATCCCCCAGCAGGTAAGCCTGAGTGTGTCCTCATGGCCCTGCAGAAGGGCAGCATCAGAGCGAGCCCAATTGCACAAGCCATTTGCAGGCTTCTGCCTGTGTTACTTTTACTAATATCCCATTGGTCAAAGCCAGTTGCATCCCTGAGCCCAGAGTCAGAATGGGTAAGGACCACAAAATCAGCAGCAAAGGATGGGTATAAACGTGGACAGGGATGCATCATGGGGGCCAATTTTGTGATCTAGCCCACCATGCTTCAATATTCAAATAGGAAAGGTTTATAATAAAAATCTCCCCTCCATGTACAACTCATGGCAACTACAGCTATGGGTCTCTTCTGTATCCATACAGAGATATTCCATGAGTTTACAACATTTTTGTAATTTTTTATAAATTTTTTAAATTCTTAATTGTTGTGGGTACACAATAGGTGTCTACATTTATGGCATACATGAGATATTTTGACACAGGCATGCAATGCGTAGTAATCACATCATGGAGAATGAGGTATCTGTCCCCTCAAGCATTTATCCTTTGTGTTATAAACAATCCAGTTATACTCTTTTAGTTATTTTAAAATGTACAATTAGGCCAGGCACGATGGCTCACACCTGTACTCCCAGCACTTTGGGAGGCCGAGGCAGGTGGATAACTTGAGGTCAGTTCAAGACCAGCCTGGACAACATGGTGAAATCCCATCTCTACTAAAAATACAAAAAATTACCTGGGCATGCTGGTACACGCCTGTAGTCCCAGTTACTCGGGAGGCTGAGGCAGGAGAATCGCTTGAACCCAGGAGGCAGAGGTTGCAGTGAGCCGAGATCGCACCACTGCACTCCAGCCTGGGCGACAGAGAGAGACTCTGTCTCAAAAACAAACAAACAAAAACATAATTAAATTATTATTGACTATAGACACCTTATTGTGCTATCAAATACTAGGTCTTATTCATTCTTTCTATTTTTTTTTTTATCCATTAACCATCCCCACCTCCCCCTGACCCCCCACTACCCTTCCCACCCCCTGCTAACCATCCATTTTTATAATTTTTATGCCTCAGTTGTGCCCAGCCCTTTCCCTACTATCCTCTTAAATCAGCACTTGCCATGGTGCCGAGGCTTTGCCATCATCCTACTTGGGTTCAAGTACTGCCTGTTGGCAGTGTGACCTTGGGCACGTCATTGTCATTCACGGAGCCTCAGTTTCTTCGTCTGTAAAATGGGAGTGATAGTGTGTATCTTGCAGGGGTTATTGGGAGGCTTAAACAACATCCTACATACCAAGTCCTGGATATAGTAACTATCAGATAATTGCTTTGTCATTTTTATCATCATCATTATTGTTGTTTTGTTAACTCACGAAGGCATAATGTCCTCCCCTGGTTTCAAAGCTTCTGGAACTCCCAATAGGAAAGGGCTTTCCTTTCCACGTCTGGGAGCCAGCTGACCATCTGCCAGGAGGGATTTCTGTTTAACAAGCTCTTGTAATCTTTGCTGTGATCACGACTCCCTCCCGGGTCTGTCGCTCCTCTGGGGCTTGCAGCCTCTTAGGCTAAGCCTCTGATGGAGCTATGAATATCTGAGCACCTGACCCCGCATTTCAATGTGCCCAGGCTGGTCCCTGAGCCTGCGTGTTTCCTGGGGATCTGACCCAGGAAGGCTGTTTTACATCCTCTCTTTCCAGAAACCCCCACCTCCCCAGCACCAGAAATGTTTACTCATTCAGGCCTTTCACTCAGCAAATATTTATTAAACACCTTACTGTATGCCAGGTCCTGGCATAGACCTAATAGCAATGGTCAGTAACATCTGACTACTGTTTCTGAATCTCCAAGACATTTTCTTGGCCTCTTGAGAAGACAGTTGAAATGCTTGGCCGAAACAGGGTAATTAGACCCAATTTATGGTTACATGGTCAGTTCATTTCCAAGAGTTTGTCTCAAGTTCCTGTCTTAGGGAACTTTCGGCAGGTTCTTTAGAAGCAAAGCCTGTGAAGGGAATTCTTATGCAAGTGATTTATTGAGAAGGCTCTCGGGTGACACCTAGAAGGGACCGAGGGATGGGGACAGGGCAGGCAGAGAAGCTATGCAAGGATGGGGTTGCAGGTGAGGTCTTGACCCAGCCTGATCCCGCAGAAAGCTCTGGAGTTTCTATTGTACTTCAGAGTCTGTCCCACTTCAAGGCAAGGGAACAGAACTTCTGTACCCTGACATGAGTCTGTCATTGGCTATAGGTTGCCCCCAAGGCATTTGGGGGAGGCAGATGCAACTCCAAGCCACTTCTAGGAAGGCAGCTCCAAGCATCTAAGGGCCACTCTCCAAGCAAAGCTGCAGGAGTGAAGGCTTCGTCGCAGCACCAGCTGATGGGCAGGCACGCTGAACCGTAAAAGAGACCCCACAGAAATAAGCTGAGCCCCTCCCTGCACCTGACATTTCCTCCTGACCCAATCCCAGGCAATCACATGATTATTGATGACTGTCACTGAGCTGCAGGGAGGTGGCTCCAAGCACAGATGTGGCATCAGATAAACGCAGTTTCTAATACAGCCTTCTCTGTTCACTAGCTGTGTGATGGGGGGAAAGTCACTCTACCTCTCTGAGCTTCAATTTCTTCCCCAAAATAATGAAGATAAGACCCGTCTCAGAGCGCTGTTGGGATTCATGTGTTTGGCCAGTGCCTGATACCTACTGAATACTCCACAGTCATTATCAAGGCAGAGCAAGAGTTTGAACCCAGGATTTCTTGGGTCCCAGTGCTTTGTAATAACCATAAGGCCTTGAAAAAACTTCAGAAACACCCTCTGGATCTTAGTATGTTTTTTTTCATCCAAAAAAGTAGGCTGATTTCTCTCCTGCCTGTTTCTCTGGTACTTTGAGAGGGTGTACATGGCACTGTGAGATAATCCGATTTTCAAGGCTGGAAGAGACTTGGCAATGACCTCATTCCCTCTCTGTTATTGGGGCCATTTGACAGATGAGTAAATGGAGGCCCAGAGAAGTTAACCAACTTCCCTGACAGCAGAGTTAAGAGAGGAACTTGAAATTCCTACTTCCCACTTCCAGGTTCTTCCCTCCCAGCAGGATGGCCACTCCCTCTCCAGGTGAGCAAATCACTGTCCCCACTGGCTGTAGTTTCCCAATCCAGAAATCATTAAGGGGGCAGACTAGATGCTCTCCAAATCCCTTCAGCTTTGAACATTTCTTGCCTCCAGGTATACCAGGGTGCTCTGCAATCCCAATAGTACCAAGGAGGATTTCATTCCAGCCATCACAACCCATCTTTGGCCATAGCCAGCAGCAGAATATACTGGGCAGCAAGCTGACATGCCCATTTTACAGATGAGGAAACAGAGGCTCCAAAAGACTTGCCTTTGGGAGATTAGGATCTGCAGTGCCTACATACCTGCAGTCCCACCTGAGGGGGTGAGGAAGGCCCAAAAAAAGAGATGAGGGAATCCAGGGATTTTATTTTCCCACAGGATCACATTTACCTTAACCTCCTAACTCACAGCCAGGTCACCGGAAACTTCCCACAGATTTCCCGCTGGAATAATTATCCAATAAAGGCAGCCCCATCTTGGACAGTTGTCTTGGCCCAGAGCTGCAGGGTCCAGGATGGCTGTGGGGAGCCATGCTCCATCCAGGGGGCTGTAATGAAGGACACATGCCAAGACATGGGGATCATTACAGAGCAGCCCGTGGGGCCATGGGTGGAGGGATGTAGGGTGTCCCCACATCATCCTAAGGGCTGGAATGCCAGTCATGAGCACGTGACTCTGAAGGCACAGGGCCATCTGCTCTGCTCCTCGACCCCGGGAGGTAACCTGGACATCTCAAGGGACATGGGATGAGGGATGAGGAGGGTGGCTGGAGATGGAAGCAAGGGTTCACCCACCAGGCTCTGCTGTCTTTCTGGGCTGAAGGCAAAACCTGCTTCATGAGAATACACTACTAGCATGAGGGCGCTGCCCTCGGGGTGGTCGGGTGCTTTCCAGCACTGTGAATCGTCTCATTTCATCCTCGTAGTAGATGTTGTTGGGGCTGTCAGATCCCCGTGGCTGCTGGAGTTGCCCCCTTCTTAGAGATTTGCCTTCTGCTGATGTGAGCCGATGCCTGGGTGTTTACACCCCCACCCCTCCCTGAGTAGCCATCAACATAGACTCACACCTGGCCCCCTTGCTAAGGTGGGATGACTTCAAGCTCAATTTATGCTCCAGAGCCCCTGTGGGATTAGGCCCAAAGCAGGGACCACACCCTTGCTCAGCCCCTCCCCGGGTCCTATCCTGTGTCTCCCCTCCTTTTGAGGTTTTCCTTTCAAGCCCACTCCCCAGATAAATCCTATACACCCCATCCATGTCCCAGGCTTTGCTTCTGAGGGGCCCGACCTAGAACAACCTGCAAAACGACCCCAGAACATTGTCACTGAAAATCAAGCCCCTACGACAGATGAGAGGGAAGGTCACTTGCCCAGAGTCACAAGGCACAGGTTTGACCCAGGTCTGTCTCAGAAAATGCTTGGGCTTGGCTGACCTCTGTGGAAGCTCATTGCAGCCAAGACGGGGATACTTGGGAGGTCTGGGGGCTGGAGGAGGCCTGGGTCACAAAGACCATTGCCAGCGAGGACACACAGCTCACCCTTTGGGATAATGAGGCCATTGGCAAGCAGGAAGAAGAGATGGCCAGGGAGGGGGAGGTAAAGAGAGCCGGGTGAACCAGGCCAGGCGGCTGTGCCCATCAGGAAGGGAGGTGGAGGACGTCAGCACCTCACCCTCAGGCCTGAGCAGCTGGGGTCCCAGGTGGCTGAGTTACCGCGCCCTGTCGCTGGCAGACAGGGCCAGCCTTGCCCTCCACTTCAGGGGTACTTGACGTTCCAGTAATAATAGGAGACATTGAGGCCTGTTCTCCTCCAGCTCCGGGCAGCTGCCACCAAGATGGCCCGACTGAGCCAAGGACATCGGAAACGCTGAAGAACGTACCCTGGATGAGCTCAGAGGCTGCTGGCTTTAAAGGTCTCAGCCAGAAAGCAAGCCTCCCTGCATGGCTTCATCTCTCAAACACGATTCACTGCACCTGAAGAAGGAAAGCCAAACGCCACAGTGTCCCTGCCCCTGTCTCTCAACAGGCTTGTGTCCGTGACCCCTGCAGGAGGGGCATGGCGTGCTTCCTTCCTTCCACACCATCCCCCTTCCAGGCAAATAATCCAGCTCTAGCTTGCTTTGCGGACTTGCCAGATCACCCTTCCCATCACAGTTTCCCAATCTTTCTTCTCTTCCTTGCAAAGGCGTGTATTAAGGGAGATGGCAAGTCATTCATTCGATATAAGCTAATTGAGCACCTACTATGTGTTGGCTGTGGGGGATGCAGCAGCGCATAAGACGATAGGTCCCAGAGCTTAATTGGGGGTGGAAGGTGACGCACCATAAACAAGTAAACACACAGCTGATGTTGGGGTCGGGGGGGTGCAGCTGATAATGGGATTCACCCTCCAGAGGCAGAGCACTTAATTAACTTCTGGGACAAGAGGAGGGGAAGGGAAAATGAGGCTCTTAAGGGGACAGGCCAAAGGCTCTCACCCCATGATCAGCCAGGATTCAGCCAAGGACATAAAATCTCAGGTTCAATAAATATTAACTGACAACCTAGTCTGTGCACAGAGCTGTGCTAGACACTAGAGATACAGAAGTGAACAAAACAGACAACACCCTTGCCCTCCTGGAGCTGACATTCTTGTGCAGGAGAGGGACAGATGCTACATGGGCACATAAATACGTGAAGATTATTAAGAATAGCTGCTGTTGTGCAGGAAGGCTTAGCCTTTGCCAGGAAACGTTAGATACAAGATGCGGCAGGGCGGAAAACAGGGAGGGTCCCTGCTTTCAGCCAGCAGCTAAACGGTCAAGTTCTATGTACCGGCTGAGAATAGGGCCTGGGGATGAAAGCCAGAGAAGCCTCTCTCAGAAGCCAGGGAAGTGGCTGCTCACCCGCTTAATCCCTCCATGGCTCCCCATTCCCTCCCAATACAATCCACACCGGAGACTACAAGGCCCCACCCACATCCCAAATATCCTGTCAGATGCACTTCCCATCAGCCCTGTCTGACCTCTGGCCTTTCCCCCTGTTCTTACTGTCGGGGAGACTTTCTGTAACCCCATACCAGCCCCACTGTCTCCCCCAACCACTTATCCTTTGGGTACCAGTTTTGAAGTCACCTCCCCCAGGAAGCCTTCCCTGCTCACAACATAGGATAAAGTGCTTGTACCTGGAGGTTATGCCACCCCAGGACACCCCATCTATTTGTTGGCAAGCCCTGGGGGTAGAAACGGGGTCTGTCTTGTCCACAGTTTTCTCTCTATTGCTAGCACAGAGCCAGGCACACAGCATGCAATAAATGACTTAGTGATCAAATGACTGAATATATCTCCCACGAACATATCTACTGTGGTGCCTAAAATCCCACCATTTACCACTCTTGCAGGTTAAGGCGGAGTCAGTACACTACAACCCACGTGCATGCGCCTGTTCGTTTATCTCTATGGCTACATTGTTGCTACTACTGCAGAGTGTAGGAGCTGCGAAAAAGACCCACCCTATGGCCACAAAACCTAAAACATTTACTATCCGTCCCCTCAGAAAAAAGTTTGCCTGCCCCTATGTTAAGAAATCCAACGACCCTGTCCTGAAATAGGCTCAGCTTCCTTGTCTGTAAAATGGGGACGACACTAGTGCCTACCTGTTAGGGTCACTGGGAGCAGAATACAACGCTTAGAACAGTGCCTGGCACTGAGATTCCTGGGTGTCCACTGTTAATACTGTTACTATTTCCGTGGGCCACTCCATCAGATCAGCTGGAAGAACTCTCTCAGAGAGACGGAACCCAGGCTAGGAATGAAGGGGCCAGGAAGAAAGAGGTCACGAGATTGAGGGGCTCTGGAAAGAGAGGCTGCAGTTTTGTTCACCTCCTCCAAAGCAAGCGCAGGGGTCTCCCTGGGAATTAGAGTCCCCCTGTCATGTGGGAAAGAGCCTGTGGAGCCTCTGTCCCCTGCCCCCAGTGCCAGGTCTGTCTCCCCCGCCTTGTCCCACACACACACACACCATTCACACATGCTCACAGCATTCATGCTAGAATGTATACACACTCACATACACACTTAGGCACCCACCTACACCCTCATGCGCACACAATACATATACCAGGACACACTCTCCACTCACACACACACTCATTCACACACCAACCACTAACACGCTTGCACAACCCCCACACCTTGCACACTTGCACGTATGCCCACAGTTGAACACACACACACATGACCTTCCTGTATCTTCTCTGCCCCAGTGCCATGACAACATACTTGAACACATTTCTTTCCTTTTCCAACGCATCTCTTGGTGAAGACGCTTTTTGCAGAGAATGAGACACACAGAGCAAGTGAGAGAGAAGAATTCTGTGTCTGAACCATTCTGGTGGCCCCGGCGGCAACAGGGATTTCACGGTCCCTCTCTGTGGGGCTCACTTACTCCATGGTTTTCCCAAGCACGTCCACCTATTTGAGCTGGAGGGTGCATGTGTCGGAGTGTGTGCGGCGCATGGGTGCGCATGCTGGGGTGAGTACAAGCTCCTGAGCCACTCCCTTTTCTGGGGATTGCAGCCCCTCCTCTAACCATGGCATCCCTGGAGCCCAGCCGGCGGTTGAGGCCATGGGAGGCAGTACAGCACTTAGCCCGTGACTCAGAACACAGGCTATAAAGGCAGTCGGGCCTGGGTTCAAATCCTGGCCCCTCCCCTCACCAAGCTGTGACTTGGAGAAAGTGTCTTCACTTCTCCAGGCCTCAGTCATCTCATCTGGAAGATGAGGATAATCACGGTACCTCTCCCAGAGAGTGTCAGAAGTAACGGAGCATACCAGAATGCTCAGAACAGCACCAAGTACCTCCTAAGACCTGGGTAGCTGGAAGCTGACATTATGACCTAAGCCAAGAGAACTTGGCTCCACCGTTGGCTCACTGTTTGGCAAACCTCACAATCTCCATCTTCCTCACTTGGACAGCAGGAAGACAATGCCCTCACACCATGTCCTCACAGGGAGGAAGGTGGTGTTCCTTTACAGCATGGAGCATCCCAGGGGCTGTTTCCCCAAACCCATAGCTGTACCAGCCCCTGACCCCCACCCCAACACACACCCAATGGCAAGACTAGGTTAATCCCGAACATTCCCAACAGCTCAGGGTTCAAATCCTGGCCCCTCCTCTCACTGAATTGTGATTTTGAGAAAGTATCTTCACTTCTCTGAGCCTCAGTCATCTCCTCTGCATTATCATCTCCACCCCATCCAGGGAGGTAGGGTCGATTTTGGATATGATGCCAACGTTTTAACAATTTTTAATTTTACTGGTATATAATAACTGTACATATTTTACAGTACATGTTTGATCATTTGATACATGTGTATAATCAAATCAGGGTAACTGGGATATCCACCACCTTAAATATTTATCTTTTCTTTACTCCAAGAACATTCGAATTCTTCTTTTCTAGCTATTTTGAAATGTACAATCAATTAATGTTAATGATAGCCACGCTACAGCTCTATTGGCCACTGGGTCTTATTGCTGCCATCTAAGTATGTATTTGTACCCATTAATCAAGCTCTCTTCATCCTCCCTTCCTCACCCTTCCCAGCCTCCGGTAACCTCCAATCTACCATCTTCATGAGATCCACTTTTTTTTAGCCTACATATGTGTGAGGGCATGCAATACTTGTCTTTGTGAGCTTGGCTTGTTTCACTTAAACATGATGACCTCCAGCTCCATCCATGTTGCTGCAAATGGCAGGATTTTATCCTTTTTCATGGCTAATATTCCATTGTGTATATATCCACCACATTTTCTTTATCCATTCATCTATTGATGGGCCCTTAGGTTGATTCCATATTCAGTCTGCCCATTTTCAAGGTGAGGAAACTGAGGTTCTCCCATGGGGAATTAATACTGGAGCTAGAACTTGACCCTACCAAGCAAAGCTAAGGACTCTCAGCCTCAGGCCTTTGTTCTTGTTCCATCCTCTCTGCCTTCATAGCCGGCTCCATCTCACCCTTCAGGTCTCAGCTTAAATGTCACCTCCAAGACAGTCCTTCACTGACAACCTCAAAAATAGCATCTCCAATCCCTATTTGTCATGGAATCTCACTTTATTCTCCTCATAGCACCTGTGACTCTGAAATTGTCTGTCTCTCTCTCTGCAACTAGAACATCATCTCACATCTCAACGATGGCAGAAAATTTTTCTTTCTTAGTCCTTCCTTAGCACCCACTGTTGAATCAAGTTCAACAAGTAATTGTTGAATGAATGAATACAATATGGTTTTCACACTTTCTTTCTTCTCTTTCCCTTTTGACCAAATATATTTATTGCTCAGACTGGCTCACTCACTGTGGTCATGAAGCTAGGAGGGAATCCGCTCTCTTGCAGAAAACAGTTTAGTGGCTCCCCAAAAAGTTAAACATAGAGTCACCATATGACCCAGCACCTCCACTCCTAGCTATGTACACAAAAAAAAATTGATAACACGTGCTCAAGTACATGCACACGCATGTTAATAGCAGCACTGCTCACACTAGCCAAAAGATGGAAACAGCCTAGGTATCCATTCACGGTTGAATGGATTAAACAAAATGTGGTCTAGCCACACTATGGAATATTATTCAGCTATGAAAAGGAATGAAGTTCTGATACATGATACAATGAGGATGAACCTTGAAAACATCATAAGTGAAAGAGGCCAGACACAAAGGTCACATATTATACGATTCCATTTCTATAAAATACCCAGAATAGGCAAATTCACAGGGGGCAGAAAGCAGATCCGTGGCTGCCAAGGGCTGGGGGAAAGGAGGAACAGAGAATGACTAGATGCCACTGAATTGTTCACTTTAAAATTGTTACTTTTGTTATGTAATGTCACCTCAATTTAAAAAAAAGAATTCTCTGACCCCCATTATCCCCTCCAGACCCATTCACGAGGTCTAGTTGGCAGAGCCCCCATGGAAGGCTATAGTAATCTGGCTTCCAGACCCCCCCCCCCCTCGCCTTCACCCACTGACTCACCCTGGGCAAGACTCTGTAGCTTTCTGAGCCTCTGTTTTCTCATCTGTGAAATGGAGGCAATCGGCCCCACCCGTCATCAACTCACGGGGTCTTTGGGGGTTCCAATAGGAAGGACCCTGATGGAATAAACTAAAACACAAGAAATACTGTGCATAGCAGGTGGTGAAAACAAAAGCTATGCCAGGGAGCCTCCACCCTTCCTTATTCAGAAAAGACACAATAAAATAGCAAAAATCTGGTTGCACTCGGCATAGGGGATGCCTGTTTGGCTCATCTATTGCTTCATAACAGACATCTATTGGTCAAACACAGTGGCTTGAAACAATGGCACCACTTATTTTGCTCATGAATATGCAATTTGGACAGAGCTTGGTAAGGACGGCCTGTCTCTGTTTCACTGGCATCAGCTTCAAGACTCAAAGGCTGGGCTAGAGTCACCTGAAGGACAGTTCACTCATGTCATTCACCTGTCTGGTGGCCAATGCCGGCTGCTGCCTGGGACCTCAACTGGATTGTCGGCCAGCACACCTACATATGCCGTTCCACGTGGACTGGGCTTCCTCACAACAAGGCGGCTCGGTTCCAAGGGCAAGTGTCCTGAGAAAGAGAGAGAGTGTGAGACAGAGAGAGAGAGAGCAGATGGAAGCCCTATTAACTATTAGGACCTAGCCTTAAAAATCGTGCAGTGTCATTTCTGCCTCATTCTGTTCATTGAAGTCATCACAAAGTTACACAGGTTTAAAGGGAAGGGAAATAGACTCCATCTCTTACTTGGGAAGTGGTGAGGTTCTGGGAAAACACATGGGATCGGAAATATGGCTATCGCCATTTTTGGAAAATAGCCTGTACCTCATATACCACAAATGTCCAGAGATAGAGACACTTCGCACTGCCTGGTGTTTTCCCATTAAATGAAAAGATTGACAGAGGATCTCTTCTTCTTAGCAGTTTCAACTAAGACTTTAGACTTGATCTGTCTTCCACACCCTGAAAAAGCCAGATGATGGCAGATGATCTGGAAGGCTGGATCCAGAGCTCAGCTATTGTCAGGCACTCGTCTCGTTCCACCTCACCCCAGCTCTCTTCTCCTCAGTAGGCTTCATCCTCAGACTCCCTCCACAGGGAGGCCCAGTACCTCCTGGTTTATGTCTTTTATATCCTTCAGGTCCAGCCCAACTCTCCTGCTAATTCCATCAAAGTTCAAGGACTACCTCTCATTGGCCAGGCTCGGTCATGTGGTTGTCACCTAACCAATCAATAATCTGAGGATGGAATGGAATGGTCTGATTAGCCAGACCTGGATCACATAACCAATCACCGAGCTCAGGAAGGTGAGCCCCCTTCAAGACACGTGGCCCAAGCATAGGGGAAAGGGGAGTTCCAAGAGGGAATAAAAAGATCCTGTTTCTTCAGGAGCATCAGGTGCTGCTGGACAGGCTCATATAAATGGAGCACCATCATATTCTGTGCTATGGTGGATCAAGGGGGCCGGCTGGCACAGACCCTCCTGCCAAAAATTTACCCTCTAGTTGGAGTGAAAAATGCCCAAGAAACAACTCAGGAGCCGGGGAAGAAAAAAAAAAAAACAGGAAGGGCAAAGGTGAAAATGCATTCCTTAAGACTATACACATCTGGCCAGGGCCTGGTGGCTCACGCCTGTAATCCCAACACTTTGGGAGGCCAAGGTGGGCGGATCACTTGAGGTCAGGAGTTCGAGACCAGCCTGGCCAACATAGTGAAACCTTTTCTCTACTGAAAAAAACAAATACCAAAATTAACCGGGCATGGTGGTGCAGGCCTGTAATCCCAGCTACTTGGGAGGCTGAGGCACAAGAATGTCTTGAACCTGGGAGGCGGAGGTTGCAGCGAGCCAAGATCGCACCACCACCCTCCAGCCTGGGCAACAGAACGTCTGAAAAAAAAAAGAAAAAGACTGTATACATCTGACTGTGACATGAATCCATAATTAGCATGCAGACTAGGTCTAGATTCATGGTGCCCAATAGAAATATGTGAGTCACACATAGGTAATTTAAAATTTTCTACTGCCATATTAAAAAGTACAAAGAAACAGGTGAAATTACATGTTTAATAAATTTTCTTCAACCCACTCTATCTAAAAATAGTGTTTTAATGTGTACTCAATTTTTTAAAGGTATTAATAAGATATTTTACTGTTTTTTTGTACCAAGCCTTTGAAATCCAGTGTGTATTTTATTCTTCCCATACATTTCAATTTGGACTCACTTCATTTCAACTGCCCAGTGGCTATGGGTGGGTACTGACCACCATACTGAGCAGCCCAGTTCCAGACGGGCACTACTCAAAGTGTGGTCTGCAGACCTTGGAACAGCCTCAGGAATGTAGAGTCTTGGGCTTCACTACAGATCTCCCAAACCTGAATCTGCATTTAACCCGATTCCCAGGTGACTCCTGTGTATATTAAATTTGAGACCTGCTGGTTTCACCAGCACTGGCCACATGTGGCTTTTGAGCACCTGAAATGTGCTTTGTGTGGTGGAGGAATTGTACATTTCATTTTACTTCATTTTAATTTTCTTTTTTTTAAGACAGAGTCTCACTCTGTCACCCAGGCTGGAGTGCAGTAGTGCAATCTCAGCTCACTACAACCTCCACCTCCCAGATTCAAACGATTCTCCTGCCTCAGCCTCCCAAGTAGCTGGAACTACAGGCACCCATCACCACGCCCAGCTAATTTTTGTATTTTTAGTAAAGACAGGGTTTCACCATGTTGCCCAGGCTGGTCTCAAACTGCTGACCTCAGGTGATCCGCCTGCCTAAGCCTCCCAAAGTGCTGGGATTACAGGCGTGAGTCACTGCACCCAGCCAATTTTCATTTTAATTTAAAGAGCCACAATGAATACTTATTGGATAACACAAGCCTAAATCAATATAAGTGCTCCAAAATGTTGGCCATCATTGTTATTGTTTTTTTGAATTTTTTAAAATTAGAGACAGGGTCTCACCCTGTTTGCCTAGGCTGGAGTGCAGTGGCACAATCATAGCTCACTGCAGCCTCAAACTCCTGGGTTCAAGCTATCCTCCCACGTCAGCCTCCCGAGTAGCTGGGACCACAGATGTGCACCACCACGCCTGGCTAATTTTCTTATTTTTTGTAGAGATAGGGGGTCTCACTGTGTGGCCCAGGCTGATTACAAACTTATTGTTATTATTATTGTTATCATGTTACTTGTTCAAGGAGAGGAAAGCAGTAAAATGAAAATGGATTCAGCAGCATGGGCTACTCATTTCCTGCTTTTACCATCCTCCAAGACAGGGGTATAATTATTCTCACTGGTCAGATTTGGAAAGCGAGGTTTGGGTCACTTGTGCAAGATCACATAGTAAAAAGCATGGCCATCCTGACATCATTGATCAACCAGTCTGTGTGCCAGGAATACTGTGTGTTTGTCGTGTGTGTGTGTGTGTGTGTGTGTGTGAGAGAGAGAGAGAGAGAGACTCTCTCTGTCACCCAGGCTGGAGTCCAGTGGCGCAACCTCCACTCACTGCAACCTCTGCCTCCCCGGTTCAAGCGATTCTCCTGCCTCAGCCTCTCAAGTAGCTGGGATTACAGGCGTGCCACCATGCCTGGCTAATTTTTATATTTTTAGTAGAAACAGAGTCTTATCATGTTGGTCAGGCTGGATGTGTGTTGGTCTTTTAATCCCCATAACTGGCCAACAAGGAGATACTATTACACTTGCCATTTTACACATAGGGAGGTTCATTTGGGAGGCTCAGAGAAATGAAGTGACTTGTGCAGGGTCACACAGCATCCAAGTGGCAGAGGGACTGTGGACACAGGCCTGTCTGTCTCCCCAGCCAGGGTGTCTCCCAAGGCTGTACCATGGTGTGCCCCGAGTAGTGGCGGGGCAGTAGCCATGCTGGAGGGGCCATGTGAGCATGAGGCAGACCGTGGCTATTTCTCAGCCTGAAAACGCCCCTTGGAAGTGGGGGCTACCGTGATGACCTCTGGAGGCCCCTCACTCCCCTCCAGTTAGGCCGTGGCAGATGCCAGGCAAACACTGCAGCCCGTGTGAACCTCCAGTTGCTCTCTGAAGCAAGGCTGGGTCAGCCTGGGCTGCAAGCAGCAGGCACCAGGGAACGTGAGCTGCTTCTTGAGTAGCTACTGCCGGCGGCAGCAGCCCACTAGGTCCAAGGAAGCTCAAGGAAGCTGGCCTTCCGCCTCGGCCTCCGCTGTTTGCTTGTATTTAACGCCTTGCTCCATTTCCAAACGAGCGTGGGTACTGCGTGTTTGTTTGTCTAGCGACAGAAGGCAGCCTCCCAGGGAAAGGCTCCCCCCTTCCCTCCCCAGCCCCCCTCTATGTTCACACACCCGGCCTAATGCTGCGTGGCAGGAACAGGCATATGATCAGAAAGCAGGCTGAGGGAATCCGGAAATGTCAGACCCTCTTGCCATCATCCTTCCCAAAAGGCTTATCTCCCAGCCACAGGAGCCAGCCCAAACCCCAAAATATTAAAGATCAGAGGCACTCCAACCCACATGTGGATATGAGCTCGAGCTGGGAACTTGGAGATCATGGGGTCCAACTCCCCACAGGTAGAGAAATACTAATGATAACAACAATGAAAATCATAGTTGCAATTAGTGGACATTTACTGTATACTAAACACTTGACACACATCTGATTTAATCCATACAGTACCCTATAAAGCAGATTCTGCTATTTTCCTCATTCTACAGAGAAGCAACTGAATCTCAGAGATCGTTTGGCCAAGGTCACACAGCAAGGGTACGGTTGAGCTGGGATTTGAATGCAGGTTTTCCTGGCAAACCGAAGGCAAGTTAGAACTGTGATGTGGAGAGAAAAGAGTAGGCTTGGGAGTTGGAACTCCAGCTCTGCAGCATTCTCATTGTGTAACCATGGGGCTGTGATCTCTTGAGCCTTGTGTGACCTTCTGAGCCTTGGCGTCCTTATCTGTAGAGTGGGGATGATAGGGCCTTCCTACACACTGTGAGAATTAATTGAGATGAGGCAGCTGGTGTCCTGGAAGGAATCAACAGATGAAGGAATATATTTCACAAATGGAACACAGTGCTAGTATACAGGAGGCACTTAATAAATGAAGTGAATACATGCCATAGGAGAAGTCCCTTCCCTCTTAAATTTCTGGGACCCACCATCTGGCAACAACAACATTCTATTCCCAAAGAGAACTACTTGTTTACAAACCTTATCTCATTTAATCCTAACCATAACCTTCTGGGTGTGATTAGCCCCATTTTATAGACCTGACCACTGAGGCCCTGGAAAGTGTGATGGTCTAGCAGGGTCCTGCAGCTGCTAAGCATGTGAGCTGGGAGAGTGATCAGGCTCTGGCTGAGTCACGGTGCAAACCACACCAAAACAAATGCCCGGTGGCAGACGAAAGCCCAGACCTCCAGCTGGAGCTGTCTCTGACATAAGCACTGACGGGGGTGACTTTGGGTGGCTGAGATGTTTGCCCCTCACAGATGGAGAGCCGGAGGGGAGCCGGGAGCCGAGATGGACCGTCTTTCTCTCATGCAGTCACACACAGCTGCTGCTGCTGCTGCTGCTGCTGCAACGTCCTTGCCCAACTGCTGGGGACGACCATCACCATGGCAACCGCCAAAGGCCAGCTGGCCTCAGGTGCAAGGAGGGGCTGTGGCCACCTTAAGCCCTGGCCCTGGTGCCCTCGTTGACCACTCTTGATGCTGTATCCAGCCTGGAAGCCTCCAGAGGTCACCAACCCTAGCAGCTGAGTGGAAACAGAACCTCCCGAAACAGAACCCAATGGCCATACCGCAGCCCCTGCCTCCAGGGTCCCCCTCTTGCCCCAAGGATGTGTTGCCCTTAGGGTCTGGGACCCTCAGCCGGGAAGAGCTGGAGGCCCCAGTTCTGTGGATGGGAGCGGCTTAGCAGTCACAGCTCTGTGCTGCAAATATTAATTATCTCCTAACGACTCTCCAGGCAGTCATTATATCTCAGCTGCTGGCAGCTGTTCCTGAAAACCTACCCAAGGCAGCCATGGGCAGAAGGAACCTGCCCCTGCGGCTGGAGGGGTGAAATGGGCCCTGCAGCATGTGGGGACAGGCACGAGGCTGAGGGACTCTCGGGAGGGAAGGAGGCCCCAGTGCCCTTGCCTCCCAGGAACAGGAAGAGAATTAGGGACCAGGGGGTGGAGGAAGGAAGCTGGGAGACAGGAAACTCTGGAAAGACAGAAATTTAAGGCTGTAGATCGCTTGCATTTATTGAGCATTTGCAATGTGCTAAGCGCTTCAATGACTCACTACTCAAAATGTGGTCTGCAGACCTGCAGCCTCAGCATCACCTGGGAGCTGACTAGAAATGCAGAATCATGGGCCCAACCCAGATCTACTCAGTAGAAGCTGCATTTCTTTTAATAAAAGGTGTTTCATGCACAGGTTGAAGTTTGAGAAGTGTAATTTTAAGGCATGTTCACGTTGAAGTCTCATACAAAGTGATGGGGAAGGTACCATTATCTCCACTCGATAGAAGAGGGCCCAAGGATCGGCCAGCTGCAGAACTTGCCCGAGATGGCAAGAAGGCAGAAGAGCAGATCCCTGATTCACACCTTTCTCCAGCAAGTCCTCCCATCAGCCGCAACACACCAGGTACTGTGCTGGGTACGAAGCCTGGTCTGTCATACACCAAATCTCAGGGTCCTAACATCACACTCACTTTCTCTTGGTACACATAAAACAGCATCATGGTCACACCAAGATCTCATTTCAGCCGCTGAGAAAGCTGCCACTGTAGTCCTCATTTTTCCAGATCAAGAAACTGAGGCTTGGAAAGGAGGAAGTGATTCTCTACACAGCAAAGGGCTTGTCTGACACAAAAAGGGTTTTCATGTAGAGGACAAGGTTCTGCTTTGTCTGCGTGTCCCCACATTCAAAGAGGCCACAGGGTGGTCATTTTCAACACAGCATAAGGCCCTCCTTAGGCCGAGGACTCCAGACCCTCAAGGCAGCAGAGTTTTTGGGACAGGAGGAGTGAATGGGCATGGCCAGTGGGGTCTGTTTGGAGATGGGTGAGATTTTCCTTCACCCAGCTGTTAGGGTTGGTGACCTCAGGGGCCACCAAGCTGGTCACGTCCTCAAGAGTGGACACAGAAGACACCAGAGCCAAGGCTCAACAGGGCTGTGTGGACACTCAGTGCCCAATTATGGGACAAATCACCTGGAACAGTAGTGAGCTTCCTTGCCTGGGGGGTATTCAATCTCCGGGGTGACACCCTGACAGGAAGGGCTCTTGTGAGATGTCCAAGCTTCAGAGGAGGAAAAGGAGTGACAAAGGCACTCAGGGTTCCAGGCAGTTCAAATCCCAGCTCTGCCACTTAGTAACTGGGAGACCTTGGGCAAATTCTCCAAACTCTCTGAGCCTCAGTTTCTTCATCTGTACAAAGGGGATAATGAGGGGGGTGTGTTTCTAATGAGATGAGAAGTGAAGAACCCTTGGCTCAGGATTATTCCCATGGAACTATTCTAAGAATGGAAGGCAGGAACTCTCCTCTGTGGTACTAAAGGTAGTTTTAGGTGGTGCAGAGAAAGGGCATTAGCTAATGTTGAGCAACAGAGGGAGAAAGTCACTCCTTTTCAATTCTCCTTGGTCCTTCTAATGCCATCACTGAGAAAGGCTCATTTTGGTGCTGCCCCATCTCTAACACCTTCTCGTTGTCTCCATTAAAAAAAAAATGAGGTGTAACTTAAATACATGAAAGTGTACACAAAGCTTTCATGTATAGCTCAATAACTTTTTACATTTCCACCACCAAAGTGATGTTTACATCAAGATAGTAGAATCCCAATGGCCCCCAGGGGGCCCTCACATGCCCTCCCAGTCAATACCCTCTCCAAGCATACCCGCTAGTCTGACTTCTATTCACCTAAGATTAGTTTTGCCTATTATTATTATTATTATTATTATTATTATTATTATTATTATTACTATTTGCCCAGGCTGGAATGCACTGGTGCAATGTCAGCTCACTGCAGCCTCAACCTCCTGGGCTCAGGCGGTCCTCCCACCTCAACCTCCCAAAGTGCTGGGATTACAGGTGTGAGTCACTGCACTCAGCTAGTTTTGCCTACTTTTGAACTTCAGTCAAATGGAATCATATAATATGGACCCTTCCCTTAAATAGTTTATTGAGATATAATTTACACACTGCACAATTCACCCATTTCAAGTGTACAACTCAATGGCTTTTCATATATTTACAAGGTTGTAGAGCCACCACCACAATCCATTTTGGAATATTTTATCACCTCAGAAAGAATCTTTCAGCCAACACTCCTCAATCTCCCCCATTCTTCCCCGCCCCTGGAAACCACCAATCTGCTTTCTGTCTCTATGGCTTTACCTGTTCTAGACGTTTCATGTAAATAAAATTATACATATGTGACCTTTTGCATCTGGCTTCTTTCACTTAACATGGTGTTTTCAAGGTCCATCCAGGTGACAGCAGGTATCAGTAGCTCATTCCTTCATGTGGCTGACTAGTATTCCATTGCATGAATAAGCCACATTTTATTTACCCATTCATCAGTGGATAGACATGTCCGTACCTTTTGGATCTGCTTTTTCCACTCAATATTATATCTGTGAGATTTATCCATGTTATAGTGTGCTCACAGTTCATTCTTTTTCATTGCTGCATAATATTCCATCAAATGAACACACCCCTGTTTATTGCCCATTGTCCTGTTGCTGGACATCTGGGTAGTTTCCACTTTGATGCTCTTATGAATAAGGCTGCCATGAATATTCTTGTGCATGTCTTTTGATGGCCTTATTTTGGCTGGGTATATCCAAGTGTGGAATTTCTGGTCATTGGGTAGGTATATTTTTGCTCAGCTCCTTTTTGAACAAAGAGAGAACAAGCCCCAGGTTTTGAGCCTTTTCCAAACTGTGCCTTGTTGGAATGTAATAACATTAACTGACTTGTTTTCACTGCATTTAGTGTATCTATTACTTTCTCTTTATGGCAAAGGGATATTCTCTCTACAGTACTGATCCTAAGTCTTCTTTTAAAATAATGTGTTTGGGTTTTTTTTTTTTTTTTCAAAGGAGTTCGTTTAAAGAAAAATTTCAGTAAATAATAGCACAGGCAGTGTATGGGCAAAGTGAAAGTCATGAATGAAGTTTGGGAAAAACAGATTTAGGAGTTTGGACATGGGGAATAAGTTGGGGTGGTCAGGCAGACCTCCTGGCAGAAGAGGGACATAAGCTGGGCCTGGAAGAGTGGGTGAGAACCAGGGATACAGGAGAAGAGAGGAGGAAAAGCTCCCTGGCTGTAGTGGTCCAGGAGCAATGGGCAGGTTTGATGCAGGGTGAGGCTACCTGGCTTCGAGTTTCAGGCTCCACCTCTCAGATCCTGTGCAACCTTCAGAGCCTCGTACCCTCTCCAGCCCTCAGCCATCTCATCTGCAAGATGCAGGCATTGGACTGGACAAGAAGTTTCAAACAGGGCTCCCTGAGCAGACTCCAGCCTGCAAATATATTTTTATTTGGAGTGTCTTTAAACAAGTTGATCCCACAATTAAAAGGAAATTGTATGATGCCACTTTAGATTTCCAGCATCTTTCAATAACTTAAAGTTCTGGATCCATATTTCAGGGGGCAATATTTGGCCAGAGCTGAATTGCAGCTGCTCCCATGAATGCCACAGTCCCCACCACTCCCTATCACATCTCAGGCACTGAAGAGGAGCATTAGCTCCATTTACCATTGCACTTACACCACTGTTCTGGTAAAGATGAAAGTGACATATTTTTAATATTCGTGTCTCTAACAAAACTGAGAAACTTTTTTTTTTTTTTTTTTTGCGTATAGCCCTTGTAGGTTATCTTCTTCGCCTTACTACCCTTGGAGGTACCTGAAATTGAGAGCCCTGGCCTATGTGATTTATAAAGTCCCACTCAGGTTGGAGAGTCTGAATGGGGTGATGGATTTATGTACAGGATACACTCAAGATAATTTAATTTTTTTTTTTTTAGAAACAAGGTCTCACTCTATCACCCACCTGGAGTATAGTAGCACGATCATGGCTCACTACAGCCTCAAACTCCTGGACTCAAGCAGTCTTCCCACCTTGGTCTCTCGAGCAGCTGTGACTACAGGTGCACACCACCACACCCAGCTAATTTTGGTGTTGTTGTTATTGCCCAAGCTGGTCCCAAACTCCTGGGCTCAAGTGATCCTCCTGCCTCTGCCTTCCAAAGTGCTGGGATTACGGATGTGAGCCACCACACCTGACCAGGATAAATTCTGATGGCTGCACAACCATTAGACGGAAAACAGCCACACACGCCAGGACCAATATCAAGAAAATGACAAAGAATCAAGGAACCGATATTCAATGTTAGATCATGGGCAAAGCTGCAGCTTTGGTATAGGAGACCTGGGTTGAATCCCAGGCACATCATTCACTAGCAGTGTGAACTTGAACAAGTCATTTCTCCTCCTTGTGCCTCGGTTTCCTCATGTCACAATGAGGCGGATCTCATAAACTCATGCAAACACCACTTCTGGTTCTCACATTAGATCCTCAGCATGCACACAGTAGGCCTTCAACACACACCAATGATAACTGCAGTCGTTATTCCCCCTATGACCAGCCCTCCACTGTGTCACCCCCAGCAGCCACCCAGACCTCTGTTTCTTCCACTGGAGAGCGGCTGGGAGGATGTACCAATAAGTAGCTAGTTAACTAAATAAATGAATAAGGCAGGTCTATGCTGATATAAATCTCTGGAAGAGAACATTTAGACACTCCATATTCGAGCTGGATATCATTTAAATTACCAGGCTGCCTCCTCGGCCCGTATTCCCTTATTACCATGTTTTCAAAGCTCGGAGCTTAATTGCACGTTGCCACAGCCTTTACCCACGGCGCTTGTGGAAATTAGAGGTGCCTGCCTGCCCACTCATTTGCAGCCCATCACTCACTGGCTGGCACGGCCTAGGGATTGGACATTGGAGGGATGTCCCTGTAGGGAACAGGTCCAATGCATTGAGTTGGGAAGTGGGCTAGGGAGGGGGCTCGTCAATTGCCTTTCTGCCTCCAACCTTGCCCTCTGCCGGGCCATTCTCCATACAGTGCCAGGATGCTCCTTAAACATAAGTCACATGATGTCATCCACGACAGCTCTGACTCCTTCCCCGGATCCCTGCTCACTCAGGTTAAAAGCCAAACATCCCACCTTAGTCTCACAAAGCCCCGCGGGATCTGAATCTCCATGACTTCTCTGACCTCTGCTCCTATCACCCCCACTCCATCTTGCTCACTATGCCTCAGCCCCACCAGTCTCCTTGCTATGTCTCTCCAATGAGTCACTCCCGCCTCAGGACTTTTGTACCTCCTGTTAGCTCTGCCTGGCTTGCTCTGAACCTGGTATTTGCAGTTGTCTCCTCCACTTGCTTCAAGTCTCTGCTCTCTGAGGCCTTATCTAAAACACATCTCCTTTCCCACACTGTCTGTCTTTTCTGCTTCATTTTTCTTTACAAAATTCATCAGTGCATATATCATACTTTGCAGCTATTTGTGTATTTGTTTCTTTGACACTCTCCCCCACTAAATGATCACTCTATGAGGACAAAAATTTTGGAGAAAACCATTATGAACCAAACACAGCCTTGCTTGGTGTCTCAATGGTAGCTACTCAACCACCGGCCATTAGAAGAAAACATTAATTGTTATTACTGGGTCCATCCTTAGGTCACTTTTATCACTTTTAACTTCCAAGTTCCCACATCCTGTTTTGCAGAAGCTATGGGCAGGAGTAGGTAGCTTTGGGCCATTTGACAGATAGAGAAAATGAGGCTCAGAGGTGTGAAGTGACTTCCTGGATCGCACAGTAAGTTAGGGGGCACATGCCGCCCTCACTCTCTGCCAAAAACTCAACATGCTGTTCCACTGCAGGGCCTTTGCACAGGCTATTCCCCTACCTGGGATGCCCTTCACCCCACCCGCTTGTAAACTCTTATTCTTCAGATCTCTTTCAATATCTCCTCCTTGCAGAAGCCACCTCGCCGCTTAGACTGGAGCAGATCTACCCTTTTAGAAGTTCTCAGCACACCTGATATCTCTTCAGAGTGCTGATAGGAGTTGACAATGCAAAAATGTGAGAACATATTTTTGTCAATGTGTGAATTTAGGAGGCTCTGTGGGATGCAAATGTAAGCCATTCTGGGAAGGCTGGGTTCTTCCCAAATTGAGACAAGAAAGAAGAGGAAACCAATCCAGATGTACTTATGAGCAAGTGACTGCTGTGGGCAGCTGGGTTCAGTCCCAAGGGGGGTGCCTGGGAGGCCACTAAGATCACAGCTCTGAGGACACAGAAGCTGGGACATTTGTCCACCAACCCCCATGGTCATTGATTGAAGGTTGATCTTGGGGGAATTAACTTCTAGGCACTTCTCATCTACCCTGTGTAGGGACCAAGCACATGGCTATGGCCATCGGAAGCCCTCGGGCAGAGGCAGGTTTGGATGTAGAATGCCATCAATGTCTTTGGGAACTGTCATCTGAACAGTCCAGGATGTGCCAAGTGATAGGTGTGGCAACCAACAGCATCTGTTACAGCTTCTTGCTGGAGTTGCTATTTGCATATTTATAAAACAGTCAGTCAACAAACACTTTGTTAACTAAGCCTGTGTCTCCAGCCCTCTACTTCAAGGGATACAGAGAAACCCAAGACCTCAGCCCTGCCTTCCTAAAGCAAAAACTCTACCTAGGGAGTCCAGACTGAAACACTCAGTACAGCCCGGTGATGCAGGCACATTTCATATATGAGATGTGGAGGCACAGAGAGGTGAAGTGATTTATCTAAGGTCACACAGCTAGTAAGTGGCAGTGCTGGAACTTGAACCCAGGGCTTGTACCCTTAACTTAAGTGCATCTGCAAATCCCTGGCCCCTGTACTATTAATGGTAACTGTTTATATTACTCCTGCTGATTATTCTCCCTTTGTGTGAGTACAGTCTTTATAGATACGCAATCATCCCCATTTTACAGATAAGGAAATTGAGGCCCAGCAGGTGCATGATCACTGGGCAAATGGGAGGCTGGAGCTGAGTTAGAGACCCACATCAGCTGCTGGAGCCAGTCTTGGTTACCTTCCCCTCCATTAGCTCATTGGAGGTCGGCAAGAAGAAAAAAGACAGAGAATTATGATCACTGCCGTGTACTGAGCAGTGCTTTTTGCAGATGATTTGCCTTTTGCAGAAACTCTCTTTAGCCCTTGAACTCACTCTCCCTGTGAGGTTTAACTACACCCATTTTATAGCCAAGACTGAGGTAAACAGGCTTAAGTTTCTTTGCCACACAACTGGCAGAGTTGGGATTCAAATCCAGGTCAGTCGAACTCCAGAATCTAATCCTCATTCACCCTCAAGACGGGAATTCCTTTTAGGGCATCTGAACTTGATTGCCCCCAGTCGACGGGAGACTCCCCACCTTGCAAAGCTTGTCAGTCCACTGCTGGGCAGCTCCGTTGAGCATTTCAAGCTCTGGGTCTGGTCCTGCTCAGCTTAGCATCCTCAAAGTCCAGCACCAGGTCCACCCTTCACAGATGGGTTCATTTCGAGCCGCAGTCAGTCTCTCCTTGTAAATTCACACCCCAGTCTCGGTCTGGTCTCTGAGGCAATAAAAACTCAATCTAATCTTTCTGGGGACAGGCAGAAAGATGAGGAAATAAGCTAAAATCACATAAAATAGCATATGCAAAGTACAGATCATCGTCCCTAGCACGACACACACTCAAAAAAGGAGAAGCAGATGTTATTACCATTATTATTCTATTATTATTACCAGAAGCAGCATTGGGACTGTTTTAAGAACTCCAGGGGTTCTAAGCATGCTCATATTTGGAAGTCGCCTGTCCCAGCATATCCAATACACTAAAATGCACCCATATCCTGCATTAAAGACAATTTTCTGTGAAAACAATCAAGAAGGAATTTTGTAATTTTGTTTCGGACATTATGCTCCATTTTGATTCCTGAAGTTTCTTTTAGTATATTAGAGCTAGTCTTTTTCCCCCTCTTCGGATCTCAAGCACTCCTGTTCAAGGAAGCCAGACGGGGAAAATGAGGCCCGAGGAGGCAAAGTTTCCTGCCCAACAGACACACTTAGTGGTGGCAGCAGTGTTTGAAAGCCACCAGCCCAACTCAAGACCTGTGTTTTAATCTCTTGGGTATGAAACAGACGTGGGTGGAGAGAAAGGGATGACTCCAGTGGAGGCGGCAGAGGGGACTGCATCTGGGGCTGGAGGAGGGGAGGGTTGGGAGGCCTGGGTCCCCACCAGCCAGCCAGACCGGCAGCCTCTCGCCCTCCGCCCCAGCCTGCTAATTGCTCCTGCTAACGGTTCAGGGCCAACGCTTCCAAGCAGTCTTATCTTCTTCTTTACCATTTTTCTTTCTGGGCAATGAAGTTAAAAATCCCTTCCCAGCACTCCGATGGGGTTTTTAAAATGTAGCCTCCATATCACTATTTAACATGCACTGCTAAAAACTCGATAAACAGCGACCGTCACTTGCAGATTAGCTCTTCACATAACGAAATGATTTATTTAGAAGATTTCCCAACACCACCCTTCTCTCTCTCTCTCTCTCTCTCTCATTCCTTGGCTAAGAACATTATTAATCAGAAATTAAGGCTGATGGAGGAACAGAGGTGAGAGTGATGGGAACAGTGAGAGAAAGGGGTGCGGAGGGAGGTGAGGGAGAGAACGTGGGTGTGAGTGGCCACAGGGAGAGGTGGCAGAGGGAGGCCGGAGGGGCCAGGTGCTCTGGAAGGGATGATGGCGATGGGGGGCTGGGCAAAGGGGGGACTCAGAGGACACCAGAGGAGGGTCTGGAGAGAGAGGAGAATGCTGGAGTCAGGGGAGTTGGTCAGAGGGGGTGGGAAGAAAAGGAGGGAAAATCGGGAGGGGGAGAGAGAGAGGAATGAAGGGAAGGAGAAGAGAATAAATGAGAGAGAGACTAGGATCAAGGCACAGAGAAGGAGGGAGAGACAGGAAGAGCAGAGAGACTGAGATGGAGGCAGACAGAGGGAAAAAACTAGGAGAAAGGAGAGAGAACGAGAGAGACATACAGAAAGAGAGGCGGGAGAGGGAGAGACGAGGAAAGAAAAACAGGAGAGAGGGAGAGAGAGAGACAGAGACAGAGAGGAGAGACAGAGAGGGGATGAGACAGAGAGCGAAATAGAGGGAAGAGAGAGAGAAAAGACAGAGAAGGAGAGAGAAGGAACTAGAGAGGGCAAAAAAAAAAAAAAACCATAGGGCCAGGCGTGGTGGCTCGTCCTGTAATTCCAGCACTCTAGGATGCCGAGAAGGGAGAATTGCTTGAGCCCAGGAGTTTGAGACCCACCTGGGCAATGTAGTGAGACCCCAAACTCTATAAAAAACAAAAAAGTAAAATAAAGTAAATTTTTACAAAACAGAAAAGAGAGAGGAAGGAAGGAGAGAAGGAAGGAGAGAAGGAAGGAAGGAAGGAAGGAAGGAAGGAAGGAAGGAAGGAAGGAAGGAAGGAAGGAAGGAAGGGTAGGCAACCTCAGTGACAGGTGAGGTGGGTCCCCAGGGGGGCCGGCCACTTGGATGCTGCTCCCTGCCACTCGCTGGTCAGGACAGGCCCCCACCCCGGGTCCTATCCGCAGAGCCTCTCGCTCTCCCCTGCCCAGCCGGCCACTGCCGCAGGTGGAGGGAGGGCAGGCTGCCCCGGTGAGGGGCTTCTCCACGCCTCCCTAACCAGGGAGAGGGGCCGGCCCGCTGCAGCCCGGCTGCCTCACTGGGGAGAGACAGAAAAGAGCTTAGGCTCTGGCTTGGCACCTCCCTTTTTGTTATCTCATGCATATACATATATTTATATAAATTTCTATGCACCATAAATATATATGTATAAATCTCTCTCTTTCTCTCTTTTGCAAGCCCAAGAGATAACCAGGCCTGGAGCAGAGGCTACAACGATAAGAAGATTAGAGAGGATTGGTTCATTTGTTGTAAGATACTCCAGGAGGGATATTTTGCTCTCAGAAGACCAACCAGAAGGTTATCTAAATAGGCTAGGTCTGAACTAACCCAGTGCTGCTCCCCACTGGGACATTAATGGTACAAAGAGCGAAAGACAGGAGGGGCGAAGATGAGTTATAATGATTATTTGATTATCTTGGGCTTTAACAAACCCAGCCAGTTCGTCTGGGTGTGAAAAATTAGCTGTTCTCACAGCGGCAAATTTCACAGCGTTCAGCGTTATATATCCTTTTCTCTAGAGAGGAGGCGGCCGCTGCACTCAGACTCTGGGGTGACAAGGAAGCCCCAGTTTCTCTTAAATGTGGCCCTGCAGCACAGTCCTCTGGACAAAAAGAAAAGAAAAGAAAAGAAAATCACCCAACCATTCAGGGTGAGTTCAAAGACCATGCTGGATCCACAGCTTAAAATATCAACATAGATATGTTAGCTATAGAAGGGAGGGTATCACTTGCTGTCTTAAAAAATATAAAATTTTAATTTTTTTATTATTTTTTTTCCAAGACAGAGTCTTTCTCTGTCACCCAGGCTAGAGCATGCAGTGATGTGATCTCAGCTCACTGCAACCTCCACCTCACGGCTTCAAGCGATTCTCCTGCCTCAGCCTCCCAAGTAGCTGGGATTACAGGTGCACACCACCACACCTGGCTAATTTTTGTATTTTAAGTAGAGACGGGGTTTCACCATGTTGGCCAGGCTGGTCTCAAACTTCTGACCTCACGATCCACCCGCCTCGGCCTCCCAAAGTGCTGGGATTACGAGCGTGAGCCACTGCACCTGGGCTTAATTTTAATTTTTTAAAAAACTACCTGGTTTACGGCCCAGTGAAAAAATCTTTTTCGTGTAGGACTACACTGCCAATACGGTAGCTCGCCACATGTGGCTATTGAGTGCTTGAATTGTTGAAGGTCTGAATAGAGATTTGCTGTTAATGCAAAAAAAAAAACAAAAACAAAAAACACTGGATTTTGAAGACTTAGTAGAAAAAAAAATGTAAAATATCCCATTAAAGATATTTCTATTTTTCTTCTTTTTTTTTTTTTTTTTTGAGATAGTCTCACTCTGTTGCCCAGGCTGAAGTTCAGTGGTGTGATCTCAGCTCACTGCAACCTCTGCCTCCCAGGCTTAAGCAATTCTCCCACCTCAGCCTCCCCAGTAGCTAGGACTACAGTTGAGAGCCACCAAGGCTGGCTGATTTTATTTTTTGTAAAAATGGGGTCTCCCCATGTTGCCCAGGTTGGCCTCGAACTCCTGGGCTCAAGCAATCCACCCATCTTGGCCTCCCAAAGTGCTGGGATTACAGACTTGAGCCACCCTGCCCAGCCAATATTTCTATATTTATGATGGGAATGAAAATATTGATGATGGGAATGACATGCTAGGTGAAATCAGGCATATTATTAAAACTAATTTCATCATTTCTTTTTACTTTCTAAACACATGGATATGAGCAGATTTTAA